>NC_000023.11:35445337-35595694 GCF_000001405.40 Homo sapiens | reverse complement strand
ACAATGCCTATGAGCCTGCAAAATCAAAGGAAAGTTAGTTACTATCCAGATACAATGGAGATACAGGCATTGGGCAAACACACACATTCCAAATGGAAGAAATCGGCCAAAACTAAGGGGCTACAGGCCCCATTCAAGTCCAAAATCCAATAGGTCCAATAGGACAATCATTAAACTTTAAAGTCCCAAAATGATCTCCTTTAACTTCATGTCTTACATCCAGGGCACACTGATGCAAGAGGTGGGCTCCCACAACCTTGGGCAGCTCCACCCCTGTGGCTTTGGAGGGTACAGCCTCCCTCCCAGCAGTTTTCACGGGCTGGTGTTGAGTGTCTGCGGCTTTTCCAGGTGCATGGTGAGAGCTCTCAGTGGATCTACCATTCTGGGGTCTGGAAGACAGTGGCCCCCTTCTCCCAGCTCCACTAGGCAGTGCCCCAGTGGGGCTCTGTGTGTGGGATCCAATACCACATTTCTCTTCTGCACTGCCCTAGCAGAGGATCTGCATGATTGCTCTGCCCCTGCAGAAATCTTCTGCCTGGACAGCCAGGTGTTTCCATACATTCTCTGAAATCTAGGCATAGGTTCCAAAACCTCAATTCTTGAATTCTATGCACCTGCAGGCTCGACACCATGTGGAAGCTGCCAAGGCTTGGGGTTTGCACCGTCTGAAGCCATGGCCTGAGCTATACCTTGGCCTCTTTCAACCACAGCTGGAGTGGTCATGATGCAGAGCACCAAGTCCATAGGCTGCACACAGCAGGGGGTCGCTGTGCCCTTCCCATCAAACAAGTTTTTCCTCCTAGGCTTCCAGGCCTGTAATGAGAGGGGCTGACACATGTTTAAAATCTCATCTCATTTTAAATATGGGAAAACTAAGGCACAGAGAGATTAGGAAGTTTGGCCAGTGTTACACAGCTGGTAAATAGCTAAGCATCAAATCAAACTCAGGAAACGTAACTCCGAAGTCAGAAGTCAATACTTTTTTCTTCTAAATGCTCCCTCAAAACCTAAAAATCTCATCTAATTCAGTCACTGTAACAACACATATACCCTAATAAATAGTCAAAAGTAAGAAAGACTGAAGAGGAGCATTATAAAGTATGCTTCCCAAGAGGGTTCTTCATTCCTAATTCTATGCAAATAATTAAGTTATTAGGTTTCAGAAACCTCTTAATGCCTTCATTGACATTTTATGACTCCTTAAGTCCATGTCACAGCTTTTTAAAAATATGAATAATAGTTTTTTCCCCAGTATTTATATGTTTCTTTTTTAAAATAAATCTTGTTATGTATGTTTAACATACACAACCAGATGTTTTGTGATACATAGATATAGAAAAATTGGTACTATTATAAAACAAGATGACATATTCATATTCCCACATAGTTATCATTTTTTTTCCACCATGGCAAGAGCAGCTAAAAATATGAAACACTTCATGAATTTGCCTGTCATCCTTGTTCAGGGGCCATGCTGATCTGTTTTTAAAAAAAATTTTGTGGGTATAGAGTAGATGTATATATTTACGAGAACATGAGATGTTTTGAGACTGGCATGTAATATGAAATAAGCACATCAAAGAGAAGAGGGGTATCCACCCCATCAACCATTTAACTCCTTTAAGTTATATACAATCAAATTACATTCTTTAAGCTATCTTAAAGGGTAAAATTAAGTTATTATTGACTGTAGTCACCCTGTTGTGCTATCAAATATAGGTCTTATTCATTCTTTCTAACTACTTTTTGTACCCTTTAAACATCCCTACCCCTCACTACCCTTCCCAGCCTCTGGTAACTATTCTATTTTCTGTGTCCATGAGTTCAATTGTTTTGAATTTTAGATCCCACAAATAAGTAAGAACATGTAATGTTTGTCTTTCTGTGCCTGGCTTATCTCACTTAGCATAATGATGTCTAGTTTCATACATGTTGTTGCAAATGACTGGATCTCATTGTTTTTGATGGCTGACTAGTGCTCCATTGTGTATATGTACCACTTTTTCTTTATCCATTTATCTGTTGATGAACACTTAGGTTGCTTCAAAATCTCAGCTTCAACAAACATAGGAGAGCAGATATCTCTTCAATATACTGATTTCCCTTCTTTTGGGTATTTTGGTACATTTGTTACAAGGTACACTATTTGGTTGATGATTATACTAAAAGCCCAGAATTCACCATGAAATGGTATATTCACGTACATACAAACAACCAAAAACCACATTTAAAAAAGGTTCCACATCACTAATCATCAGAGAAGTGTATATCAAATCCACAATGAGATACCATCTCACACCAGTCAGAATACCTATTATTAAAAAGTCAGAAAATGTCAGGTGCTGTCAAGGCTGTGGAGAAAAGGAAATGCTTATACACTGTTTGTGGGAATGTAAATTACTTCAGCCACTGTGGAAAGCAGTTTGGAGAGTTCTCAAAGACCTTTAAAAAAACTATTATTTGACCCAGCAATCCCATCACTGGGTATATATTTGAAAGAAAATAAGTTATGCTACTAAAAAGACAGTTGCACTTATATGCTCATTACATCACTATTCGCAATAGCAGACATGGATCAACCTAGGTGCCCAGCACTGGTGGATTGGATAAAGAATATGTGGTAAATATACACCATGGAATACTATGTAGCCTTAAAAAGAACAAAGTAATGTCCTTTGCAGAAACATGGATGCAGTGAGAGGCCATTATCTTAAGCAAATTTACACAGGAAGAGAAAACCAAATACCACAATGTTCTCACTTATAAGGGGGTGCTAAACACTGAGTAATCATAGACATAAAGATGGCAACAATGGACTCTGTGGACTACCAGAGTGGGGAAGGAGTGAAGGGGGCAAGAGTTGAAAAACTAGTTATTTGATACTAGGCTCATTACCTGTGTGAATGGATAACTTGTTCTCTTAAACCTCAGCATCATGCAATACACCCATTTAACAAACCTGCACATATACCCCATTAATCTAAAATAAAAGTTGAAATTATTTTTAAAAAGTAACAAAACTTCCCCCTAAATCTATAAAGCTAAGAATTATTGAAAAAATAAAAATAATGAGAAGAGAAAGTAAAACAGGCTGCCCATCTAACTGCTACCAATCAATTGAGAGTATCTTAGTCACCCTTTAATCCTTTGTAAATTGGAAATAGGGTTTATATTATACATTTTAAACTATCAAAATGAATTAGTGCACTGGTGGCTTGATGCAGCATTATGACTTTTTAATTCTTTTGATCATTTAACAAGCATGTATTGAGAGTAAGACATTGTGTTAGATGTCAGGTGTAGAATGTCAAAGAAGAGACCAATACCCTACTTTCAAGGATGTTATGGTTTAGTGAAGGAGACAGTCATTAAAGAAAAATCCAAAATAAATCTACAAATACAAGGAATAGTATACCTTTTAAATTAATATAAAAATATGCAATTGGAGAGAATATCAGTGGGAAAATAGCTAATATTGAAGGGTTCAGAATAGATCAATTTGAAAAAGAGACAATTAGACTGAGATTTGAAAAATGAAAAGAGGTTTGTCTGACGAAGAGTAAAAGTGATTAAAGATTCCAGAGAGAAAAAAACCCCAGCAATTTGATAATAAGAGTGATTCAAAAGCATTATGTAAGCATTTTTCATTATAAAATATTAAGTATTGTTTTAAATAATGGAAGTCAGTAGTTTTCCCAAGAATTGCCAAGCTTTATATTGATTATTAAACCATAATGCTAATTATCCAGTGTATTTTCATTAAATCTTTCAAGACCTGGGGGCTTTTTATTGTAATGTTTCAATTGCATCATTCATTCAATTTTTAGTTATGATCATTTTATATTGAAATCTTATCTTCTAATTATATTCTTGTCATTAGATCAGTAGAATGTTTTCCTAGCTATGAGTTCAAAATGTCTTTCATAAAGTGTCCACTTATTAAAACTTGATTTACAGTACACAGTCCACAGGGAGAATCATTCTAATTTCACAAGATGTATTTGAAAAAAAGAAAATAGTCATTCCAGATTCCAGGCTGGAACACTTTGTGGAGCATCCTTCCATTTTTTTCAAAGAGTTTTACCTTAGCTGAAATTTTCTTTAAATTAACTTTTCTAGTTTCCAGGTATTACAGCCAACTCCACTATTTCATGTATGGTGGAATAGGTGACATGTTGGCCTTGCACAGCATTTTTGTTCCTGGGTGACAGATTTGTAGTAGAGTGGTATCCAGAAATCATTGTAATTGCAGCAGTATTTTATGCAATTTTTGGAGAATATTCTCTGTTCAAGGATTTCAAAACACTCTTCTAATGGTAAATTACCTTCACAATATCTCTTTTTGTTAACTGCAATAAGTGAAGCAAAGAAAGTTATAGTCTATCAGGGTCTTCTGCTGACTTTCATCAACACATTTGTTGGCTATCTACTGAATGCTCAACACTTAGATGGATGCAGAGAGGAGATTTAAGGGAAATAAAAGGCAAAATTCCTGAAGTCAGTTGCTTGATTTTGTAAGGAAGAAAAATGAACCAAAGAAAATAAAAAATATGTAGAAAACATTTATAGATAAATTAAGGCTGTTCCTATTAAGTGGTCTTGTGTTTAGACTTGTAAAAAGGCTAGAGAAAGAGGTCTTATTGTATAATTAGAATCATTGACTTTAAGGAAGTTTTTTCTTTTCTTTTTTTTTTGGGGGGGGACAGAATCTCGCTCTGTCACCCAGGCTGGAGTGCAATGGCACAATCTCGGCTCACTGCAACCTCCACCTCCCGGGTTTAAGCAATTCTTCTGCCTCAGCCTCCCAAGTAACTGGGATTACAGGTGCATGCCGCCACGCCCAGGTAACTTTTTTGTATTTTAGTAGAGGTGGGGTTTCACCATTTTGCCCAGGCTGGTCTTGAACTCCTGAGCTCAGGCAATCCGCTCACCTCGGCCTCCCAAAATGCTAAGATTACAGGCATGAGCCACCACACCCAGCCGACCTTGAGAAAGTTTCTAATCGTTGAGGCAGATGATTTGGCACTGCAAAGTGGCAATAACATTATGATTAGATTAAATGGCATATTTAGGTGTATAGACGCCAAAGAGGGCACAATTTCTGTGAGGGTTGGCCTGCAGTTTTGCCAAATACAGCAGAGTTGGATAGTCCAAAGTCAAGTAGAATAAAAGGCCCTTTGGTAGAGGGAAGGGTTTCTGCCAACAGAAATAACTTGAGTAATTAAAAAGAAAAAAGATCAAAATGACACCAAAGTAAAGCCCTTACTACACTATGGGTCAAAAAGCAAATGAGTCATAATCATACAAGAAACCCTAGAAATTACTCAGTCCACTCACAGTCTTCATCAAATTATGAATGTACCAATGAAATCCTAATTTATGTTTTGTTGTATTAATTAGGAGACATTTCTATGAAATAGAGATAGAAATAGACATAAAATGTTAATATATAGTTTCAAGTGATTATATGAGAGATCTTCAAAAAGTTCAGAGAAAATGTGTATTATGAAAAAACCATGCATACATTTCAAAATTTTTACACCCAAATAAACTCATACTAACTTGTTATGATATGTCTGAAGAGAAGTTAGTCTGAGGCACTAAGAAGGATACGCCATCAGTCTAAAAGGAGCCCTTGTCAGAACAACATGAATTCGGCCATAATTGAAGCAAGAACAATCAAATTTGTAGTGAAGCATGGGTGGAAGAATACTCAAGCTTCTTCCACCCATTGATTTGCGTGGAAATCATTGATGCTTTATAAAAATTTTATGGAAACAACGTCCTTAAGTCATCAGCAGTTTACAAACGGGTAACTTGTTTCAAGAAAGTACAAGATGATGTTGAAGATGAAACCTGCAACAGCAGACTGTTCACATAAATTTGTGAAAAAAAAATTAACCTTACTTGAGTCTGAATTGAAGAGGACCAATAATTAACAGCACAAGCAGTAGCCAATACCATAGATATCTCAATTGGTTCATCTTATACAATTCTGACCAAAAAATTAAAGTTGAGCAAACTTTCCACAAGTGTGATGAAAATTTCAAAACAGTTATTTGAAGAATTGTAGCAGGACATGAAATGTAGCTTTACCAGTATGACCCAGAAGACAAAGCACAACTAAAGCAATGGCTGCCAACAGGTGTAAGTGGTCCAGTCAAAGCAAAAAATTGACTGGTCAAGAGCAAAGAAAATGCAACAGTTTTGGGGGAAGTTTAAGGCATTTTGCCTTTTTACTTTCTGGTAGGTCAAAGAACAATAACATATGCTTATTATTAGCGTGATTGAGAAAGTTAGTCAAAGCTCTAGCAGATAAATGTCTGAGACAGCTTCACAAGAGTCCTTTTCCACCATGACAATGCTCCTGTGCATTCCTCTCATTTAAAAAAAAAAAAAAAAAAGGAGGGTCCAGGCGTGGTGGCTCACACCTGCAATCCCAACACTTTGGGAGGCCAATGCAGGTGGATCACTTGAGGCCGGGAGTTCAAGACCAGCCTGGCCAACATGGCGAAACCCGTCTCTATTAAAAATACAAAAATTAGCCGGGCATGGTGTTGCACTCCTGTAGTCCCAGCTACAGGCTGATGCACAAGAATCCCTTGAACCCAGGAGGCAGAGGCTGCAGTGAGCTGAGATCACGTCACTGCACTCTAGCCTGGTTGACAGAGCGAGACTGTCAAAAAAAAGACAAAGAAAGGAAGGAAGGAAGAAAGAAAAAGAAAAGAAAAGACGGAAGGAAGGGAGAAAGAAAAAGAAAAGAAAGAAGGAAAGAGAAAGGAAAAGGAGAGGAAAGGACGGGAAAGGAAAAGAAAGGAAAGGAAGAAAAGAAAAGAAAAGGAAAAAGAAAAAAGGGCACTTTGGTGAGGGTTTTAATGGGAAATCAGTAAGCAAGTCCTGCTTTGGCTCCCTTTGACTTCTTTTTGTTTCCTAATTTTAAAAAATCTTTAAAGGGCACTCATTTCTGTTTAGTTAATAATGTAAAAAAAGACTGCTTTGATGTGGTCAAAGTCCAATGACTCTCAGTTCTTTAGGAATGGACTAAATGGTTGGTAATACCACTTACAAAAGTGTCTCGAACTTGATGGAGCTTACATTGAGAAATAAAGATTATATTTTTAATTTTATCTCTTAATTCCATTGTCCCACAAGTTGTTAGAAGTTCTCTGAGATTTTTATAGAACTATGTAGAAAATTTCCAGAAATTTTACTAAGACATAATTCTCTTTGCTTCTGCCCAATTTACTAAAGGCTGTTTGTATTATCTCATTAAACACTCTGTGAATAACTTGGCTGATATTAAGACCATTGGTCTGAAGCAAAAATTCTTACAATTTTAACAAAATCAGGAACTCCCATGACACACTATTTTTAAATATACCTTTACACTAGTATGATCTTATTTACAAACTATTCACATATTTATTAACTCAAGCAATTCTCATAACATCCTGTGTATATAGTGTTATTATTACATCTGTACCATTAGTTTATCATTTAATATTACTTGGCTTCTCCATAAAACAGTAAAAATCACCTTTAATTAAAAAACATATTATAAAATAATAAAGCAGAAAACCTACTCTAAGAAAAAAAATCTAAGTATACTGTAGTAGCTAGTCTATAAAAATGATCCACAAAAAAATCACACTTCTTGGTATTCATGTTTTTTTGTAGTTCCTCTCCTTGAATCAGGGTTGAACTAAAGACTTGCTTTTAATCAATAAAATGCAGTGAAAGTGAAGCTGTCTAAGTTGTGTGGCTATGTCAGAAACACCTCGTGGCTTCCTCCTGGCTCCCTTAGAATACTGGCCCTAGATGAATCAAGCAGTCATTAAAAAGTTCCACTACCTGATGACCATTATGTTGTGAGGAAGCCATGCACAGAGGCTGCAGGTGTGGGTGGGAGAGAAAGAGAGCTAGATTGGGTCTGGCCTGCCCAAAGTGGGGTTAGTCATTCCAGCTATGTTGCCAGGCATGTCGATGAAGAAGCCATATGCCATTCTTTGAATGTTCCTCAAAGCACAAGGGTTGAAAATTTAATCCTCAAATTCATATGTTTATTGGAGGTGTAACCTTTGGGAGGTAATAAGAATTAGATAAGGTTATTAGAGTGGGGCCTTCATGATAAAAATGTTGGTGTCATAAGAAGAGAAAGATCTGAGCTGACACACATGTTCTTGCCTTGTCACATCTAATACTCTCCACCAAGTCATGCCACAACAAGAAGATCCTCACCAAATGAACCACACTCTATGACTTACTGGGTTCTAGAACCATGTGCTAAATAAACCTTTTTTCTTTACAAATTACCAAGTCTATGGCATTCAGTTATAACAACAGAAAATGGACTAATACATTATCTTTGAAATTTAGTCCAATTGAATTTTCAGATGACTCTAGTCCAGCCTCCTTCTAACTGTATCTGCATGAGAGATCCTAAAAGACAACAGATGAGCCCCGTTAAGTCACAGAATATTAGAAAATAATGATTATGCCATTAAATTTTGGGGTGGTTTGTTTTGCAGCCATAGGTACCTGAAACATGCACCAAATACAGAAGTCCACAGTGTTATGATCTTCAAGTTTGTCTTGAGATTTCTAACAGTCTAAGCAAAAAGAAGTATAATTGCAGTAGACCCCTTTTGTCTGAAGTTTCACTTTCTGTAGTTTCAGTTACCTGTGAGCAAGAGAGGTAGAAAAATAGCTGAGTACAGTACAATAAGATATTTTGAGAGGGAGAGAGACAGAGACCTCATTCATGTAACTTTTATTATAGTATATTGTTATAATTATTCAATTTTATTACCAGTTATTATTAATCTTACTGTGCCTAATTTATAAATTAAACAATATGATAGGTGATATGGTTTGGCTTTGCCCCCACCCAAATCTCATCTTGAATAGTAGTTCCCATAATCCCCACATGTTGTGGGAGGGGCCCAGTGGGAGGTAACTGAATCATGGGGGATGTTTTCCCCCATGCTATTCTTATGATAGTTGAGTAAGTTCTCATGAGATCTGATGGTTTTATAAGGGTCTTCCTCCTTCACTAAGTTCTCATTCTTCTCTCTCCTGCTGCCATGTGAAGAAGGAGGTACTTGCTTCCCCTTCTGCCGTGATTATAAGTTTCCTGAGGCCACCCCAGCCATGCTAAACTGTGAGTCAATTAAACCTCTTTCCTTTATAAATTACCCAGTCTCAGCTATATCTTTATTAGCAGCGTGAGAACAGACTAATACAATAGGCGTGTATGTGTAAGAGAAAACAGTATATATATGGTGTGAAAAATGAGTGCTAGAGAGTTGGAGTGAAATGATATAATATAGGTTCTCTCATGCTTTATAAAGAGTTTGGTATATACTCTATATGACCAGTGAACATGACCAAGTCTCTAATTTCAATGTGGTGGTATTGTCAGAAAAGACAATGGGTTCAGGGAGCAAAAAGTATAATATATTATTATTATACTTTATATAATATATTATTATTATTATACAACTCTTCTAGAACTTGAATATCAAGAAAAAGAAGACTAAACTATTTCTTTTTGATCTCATCAAGCTTATCTTCTCAAATATGGGAGACATTTAAGCAAGTATTGTGATGGTCTATTGCTACATTACAATCCACCTCAATCTTTAGGGACTGAAAACAACAATTTAAAAAGTTCTTGATGTGAAAGCTCATTTCTGCTCTATGTACTGTCCACTGAGGAAGTATAACTAAAGGCAGGGGGATCCACTTCCAAGATGGCTCAGTTACATGAACGGCAAGTTGATGCTGGCTGTTGGTTGGTAATTGAACCAAAACTGGGCTGGGATATCTCAGTTCATCTTTATATGGATGTCTCCATGTGCCTGGCCTTCCTTATAGCACAGTTCAAGAAAGAACATCCTATGTGACAAGAAGTGGAAACTATAAGCTTCTTAAGACTGAACATGAAAACGGATACAAGTTCCTTTCTGTCAAATTCTATTATTCAAGTAGCCACACAGCCTGTGATCAAGGGTGTGGAACATAGATGTAATCTTTCAATGGGAAAAGTTATAAGACTTTCTGCATATTTTTTAAAATGTAACTTCATGTTTCAAAGTTAATATGAAGTATTTTGAAGGGAATTAACAATTGATAATCTAGGAAATAAAGGAGCTTATTTATCATAACAAGAAGTAGATATAAAGGGAAAGATCCAACCATTAATAGATAAAGACTACTGTGAAGAGTAGAGTATTCATCTCAAACTCTGACTACATATAAGAAGTTTGAGTAGCAATTTAAATTATTTTTAGATATGGAAGAAAAGAAAGATGTGTGAAAGCATGATTGATAGCCTTCATTTTCTGTGATGATGAAGGTGGGGGTGTTGAGAATAGTGATAAATATCTGAATTTGCAATCAAGAAAATGCAAAGGAAAACTGATTAGGTACAAGTTAAAAGACTGTCAAACAGTTATTACAGCCCAGAAGAGGCTGAGATGTCCAAACGTATGTCAGAGCTAATAGGTATAATTAAAGAGCTTCTCAGCACCATATAGCAACCCAGAGCAGGAAAAACACAATGTGTGGATTCATTAATATATGGATATTAACAGAATATGTCTAGTAAAAGGATATTAAACCGAAAGAATCAAGGTTGCTTAAGAGAAAACAGCATTAAAGTGGTTAACCACTGGGTCTAAGGTGAATTATGAAAGAAAAGAAAAATAAAACATAGCAGAGCCCATGGCATGTGAAGAGAGTACAGAGGGGTCCAGGAACTGAAATCTCAATGAAGAATAACAAATTTAGTAAGGTTAAGGGCATGTTTAACTTTTGATTTTTTAAAAAAATAATTCATATTTTTTGTTTAAATCTAGCTAATTTTATACAAAGTACTTTAACAATCTGATAGTTGCAAACTTTTCTGACTGGTTACTTTTGAGTACTTTGTCATTATAAGGAGGTTTTTAAAGGGTCCATTGGAAGAAAAGTTTGTGCCTGTATCACAGGTAATATTTTCAGAGAAAATAAATCTACATAGTCTTAATTTTCAAAACTTCAATTTAAGTCATACAATATATTCCATTAATACGAATAAACATATACCAGTTGGTAAACTTCTATGTTGTTTCATTTATTATTATTATTTGAGATGGAGTCTGGCTCTGTTGCCCAGGCTGGAGTGCAGTGGCGCGATCTCGGCTCACTGCAAGCTCTGCCTTCCCAAGTTCACGCCATTCTCCTGCCTCAGCCTCCCGAGTAGCTGGGACTACAGGTACCCACCACCACACCTGGCTAATTTTTTGTATTTTTAGTAGAGACTGGGTTTCACCATGTTAGCCAGGATGGTCTGGATCTCCTGACCTCATGATACGCCTGCCTCGGCCTCCCAAGGTGCTGGGATTACAGGCGTGAGCCACTGCACCCGGCCAGTAACCTTCTGTGTTGTTTTAAAGGGAGCTATTGGGGCAGTCTGAATGTAATAGGCCTGAAATAGCCATATGACATAATTTGTTATAGTGTGATAATTTGAAAACATATTTTAATAACATATACAATAAAGTTCATTTAATGAAAAGCTTCTTAAGAAGAGAAAGCATATGAAGAAATAATTTAGGTAGTTATTTGCTGTTAATAAAGCTTCTAAGATAGGACTGACTATAATAAGAGTCAACTTAATTTAAAAGACAAGATATTGAGAGAAACTAAATAGAGAGAAATTTTTTAATTACTTATTTTGGAATAGCAGAAAACAGCAGGAGATACATGAAAATGTTCCATTCATAATAACAAAAATATATAGAATAATACCAAGCAATAACTTCACCCACAAACTGAAGGAACATTTTTAAAGAAAATTGCAAACCTTTAAAAAAATATAAAAATATTTAAGTATGTGGAAAAGTATTGCTGTTTGGGTAGCTTCTATGTCCAAAGCCTCCTCTGAGACTCAAGGCAAGTTCCTTTGACCTATGAGATTGTAAGTTCATAGAGTAGTTATTTACTACCAAGATACAACGGTGACACAGGCATTGAGTAAATATTCCCATTTCAAAAAGGAGAAATCTGACAAAAGAAAGGAACAATAAGGTTTAGGTGAGTCCTAAACCTAGCAGGCTAGAAATTAAACCTTAAAGCTCCAAAGTAATCCTTGACTCCGTGTCCCACATCCTGGAAAACGCCAGTGTGATGATTGGGCTCTGGTACTTGCAGCTTTTGCAGGCTGAGAGTGCATGCTGCTGATGGCTCTACTATTTTAGAGTCTAGAGGATGGTGGCCTTGTTCCCACAGCTACACAAGGCAATGCCCTAGTGGGGACTTTGTGTGGGGACTCCAACCATGTATTTCCCCTTGGCACTGCCCTACAGGGCCTCCACTCGTGTCTCAAGCTTCTGCCTGGTCACCCAGGCTTTCCCATAAATCCTGTGAAATCTAAGTAAAGATGCCAAGCCTCCTTGGCATCTTCATAGCAGTGTGAAAATGGACTCATACACCTGAAAATGCTTTTTCCTCCTCTACCACAAGGCTAAGCTGCAGATTTTCTAAATTTTTACACTTTTCTTTCCTTATAATTACGAGTTCCAACTGTAAGTCATTTCTTTGCTACAATATCTAATCAAAGGCTGTTAGACTCAGCCAAGCCCCATCTTGTGTAATTTTCTGCTTAGAAATTTCTTCCACCATATACCTTAGGTCATCACTCTTTTTTTCTTTGTCTTTTTTTTTTTTGAGATGGAGTTTCACTTAGTTGCCCAGGCTAGAGTGCAATGGCGTGATCTTGGCTCACTGCAACCTGCAGACTTAACACCACATGGAAGCCACCAGGGCTTACAGCAGCTAGTGCTCTCCAAGGTGCCAGCTGAGCTGTACTTGGGGCATTTTGAGCTTCAGCTGGAGCTGGAACAGCTAGGATGTGGAGAGTAGCCCCTGAAAGCGGGGTAGGGCAGTGGCACCATGAGCCTGGCCCCTGAAACAATTCTTTTCTCCTAGGCATCTGGACCTGTGATGTGAGGGGCTGCCTTAGAGATTTCTGAAATTCCTTCCAGGCCTATTTACCACTGTCTTGGTTATTAGCACCTGGCTATCTTTTAGTCATGACAACGTCTCTATCAAATGTTTGCTCTGTAGCCTTCCTGGATTTATCTCATCTTGAATTGTGACTCCCATAATCCCCATGTGTCATGGGAGGAACCTGGTAGGAGGTAATTGAATCATCGGGGCAGATTTTTCCCGTGCTGTTCTCGTGATAGTAAATAAGTCTCACAAGATCTGATGATTTTAAAAAGGGCAGTTCCCATGCACATGCTCATGCTCATGCTCTCTTGGCTGCTGCCATGTAAGACGTGCTTTTGCTCCTCCTTCGCCTTCCACCATGATTGTGAGGCCTCCCCAGCCACGTGAAATTGTGAATCCATTAAACTTCTTTTTCTTTATAAATTACCAGTCTTGGGTGTTTCTTCATAGCAGTGTGAAAATGGACTCATACACCTGAGTCCTTCTCTACCACAAGGCTAAGCTGCAGATTTTCTAAATGTTTACACTTTTCTTTCCTTATAATCACGAGTTCCAACTGTAAGTCATTTCTTTGCTACAATATCTAATTAAAGGCTGTTAGACTCAGCCAAGCCCCATCTTGTGTAATTTTCTGCTTAGAAATTTCTTCCACCATATACCTTAGGTCATCACTCTTTTTTTCTTTGTCTTTTTTTTTTGAGATGGAGTTTCACTTAGTTGCCCAGGCTAGAGTGCAATGGCGTGATCTTGGCTCATTGCAACCTCTGCCTCCCAGGTTCAAGCAATTCTCCTGCCTCAGCCTCCTGAGTAGCTGCGATTGCAGGCATGCGCCACCATGCCCAACTAATTTTGTATTTTTAGTACAGATGGAGTTTTTCCATGTTGGTCAGGCTGGTCTCGAACTCCCAACCTCAGGTGATCTGCCCACCTCGGCCTCCCAAAGTGTTGGAATTACAGGCGTGAGCCACCATGCCCAGCCCAGGTCATCACTCTTAAGTTCAACCTTCCACAAACCCCTATGGCATGGACACAATATGGCTAAGTTCTTTGATAGGACATAACAAGGGTAACCTTTGCTCTAGTTCCCAATAAGTTCCTCATTTCCATCTGAGACCTCATTAACCTAATTTTCACTGTCCACATTTCTATCAGTAATTTGGTAACAACCACTTAAGCGGTCTCTAGGAGGTTCCAAACTTTTCTTCATTTTTCTTTCTTCTTTGGTTCCCTCCAAACTCTTCCCATCTCTGCCCATTACCTAGTTCAAAAGTCACTTCCACATTCTCTGGTATATTTACAGCAACACTCCACTCCTGGTACCAATTTTTAGCATTAATCTATTTTGTGTTGTTATAAAGGAATACCTGAGGCCTGGTAATTTATAAGAAAAAGAGGGTTATTTGGATCACAGTTCTGCAGGCTGTACAAGTATGGCACTACCATATGCTCAGCTTCTGGTGAGGCCTCAGGAAGCTTTTACTCATGGCAGAAAGTAAAGGGGGAACAGCTGTGTCACATAGCAAGAGAGGGAGAAAAAGAGAGAATGGGGTGGTCCTAGACTCTTTTTAACAACCAGATATCATGGTAACTCATTACAGTGAGGAGGGTACCAAGCCATTTATGAGGGATCCATCCCCATGACCTAAACACCTCCCACTAAACCCACCTCCAATATTAGAGGTCACATTTTAATGTTAAGATTTTGAGGGGACACACATCCAAACTATATCTGGGATTAAATGAATAAATGTGTAAGAGGAAACCTTAGAAGAACTAAAACAGAATAGGCATATGCATTTTTTTAATCTGATCTTATGATAAATAAGGCTATTTATGGCAAAAATGTAATGAAATAAAGGATAAAGCAAAAGCTTTATAACCTGCATTTTAAACATTGCATTTAAAATATAAAATAATTTAAAAAGTAGAGAAAATGTGCAATCTTTATAAATTTAATTAATTAATTAGTGGGAGATAAAATTACCCCCTCAAAAAAATAAGCAAATGCCTCAAAAGGACAAGTCACAGGGGAAACATGTGGACTATAAAATTATTAAAACTGTACCAAAACCAAACCAAACTAACAAAAACAAAACTTAAAAACCTTCTAGCTTTCCATTCATCAAATAAATGAAAATATCAAATACATAAATAAGATTTTTTTGTCTGTCAAATAAGCAAATTAACAAACAATGGTAATGTCCAGTTTTAATGAGGATCAAGTGAAAGACAATCTCATACATTGTAATGCAAATGTGAATTGATAAAAAGTTTTCTAGCATGATTTCAGAAACTTCTTTAAGATCTTAAAATTGCTCAAACCCTTTGAATCAGTGATTTTATTCTAAGGAATTTGTTGGAAGAAAATAACCAGAAAGGTGCACAAAAATTATGTGAATTGGTTGTTCACTGTAGCTGTTCTGATTAATTGTGAATGAACTCCGATTAATATTACATTTATGCATGTATATATTAAAATCACATGTATATATACTTATATTCATGCATATAATATTCCAGTTATATAAATCTGTCTTATAATGTCTACATCTATATATCCATATCTATGTTGATTTATTGTTTGAATCTTTATAAAAGAAAACATTAATTGGGTTTCTTTTGGTCATGAGATTATAGATAATTTTTATCTTTTTTATACTTGTCAAGAATTTTTAAAATTGCTGTAGTTGATGTTATTTAGAACAGAAAAACATTAGTGTATTTTAAGGCTTGTAGTTAAGTAATAAAGTTACATAGTAATCATTTTTTAAATGCTTGCTCATTCTGAATTTAATAAAATAATTCGCTAATCTAATCATAAGGAGTAAATTCATTTTTAATATACATTTTTAATGCTGTAGGAAATAGCTGTTTCACAAATACTGTCTCATATATTAATCATAGCTATTACAAATGGTAGCTGTTATTGCCCCTATTCCACAGATGGGAAGACTGTTTAGTTACTTTGCCAGAGATCAAAAGATAACAGTGATCAGGTTGGGATTTGAACACTGGTCTTCTGACCCCTAATTATTCTATTGCCTTTGGCACAAACCCAGAGTTATGAAGTAGCAGTATTCTTTGTCTCTCCAGAATTATTTCTCCTGTGGTTTCAATGTGGGTAAAAACATTAGAAAGACGCAGTTAAAATTTTAAATGAGCTACCTAAAAAGGGAAATAGTTTTCATTCTAAGAATTTGTGTTTATTTTTGGATGAGAAACTTTAAACATAATAACAACATTTAAAGCACTTTCACAGAACTGAATAAGCAGCCAATACAAATGTGAGCAGAGGTTGCATCAATAATCTATCAATATTAATTTGATAACGTTATTCTTTGCCCATTAATGATTTTAAGTAATTTAGTAATTATTTATAAAACAAATGACACAAGAGGCAATGTAAAATATAAAAGATCATTTTGCCCTCAAAAACCCTTTGCAGATGTTTGGATTAACAATTCACCTGGATCTCCTCTCTTTTTCCTTCACATTTGCTGATTGCTGTCACATCCACCAGTTCTAAAAGTGCTTCTTCATAGTTAACATATCACTATAAATGAAATAGTATTTGGTACAGTGTAACATGACATGGTAAAAGGCAGTGCAATGCACTATGTAAGGCACAATGCTATACAATATGATACACAACCACAGTGATGCATTGTAGTATAATAACAGACAAATTAATACACTGGTGAAGAATACTTTCAGAAGAGGAAGGCACTGAGATTTTTCACTAGTCTGGTCCCCTCATTTATTATGAGAAAACTGAGACCCAGAGAGGTTAGTGAGTTATTTAAGGAAATTAATCAAACATAGCATTTTTGAAAAGTCTTTTAAATTTGACAATACTGATATAAATATGCATATTATTTGCTAAAAGTGGAAGACATCTTAAACCATGAAGTAGTTCAATAATAAAGAGCAAAATATTATCCAAGTGAGAAGTTGAACCGATGACAAATGAAAGAATCTGGATTTGATGCCAGTACAAAGTCAACTTTGTAAAACAGATCAGAGGTCAGATTTCAGGGTGGGAGTATGTGGCTCTGGGTACACCTGGTGGGCAGAAACACCTATTTTTTAAAATATATGTCGGAAAATCTACAAACTACTTTCAACAGTGGCTGAATTAATTTACATTCCCACCAGCAGTGTATAAGTGTTCCCTTTTCTCTGCAGGCCCAACAGCATCTGTTATTTTTTGACATTTTAATAATGGCCATTCTGAATGGTGAGAGATGGGGTCTTGTTGTGGTTTTGATTTGCATTTCTGTAATGATTACTGATGTTGAGCATTTTTTGCATATGCTTGTTGGTCACATGTATGTCTTCTTTTGAGAAATGTCTGTTCCTGTCCTTTGCCTATTTTTTAATAGTGTTCATTGTTTTTTGTTAATTTAAGTTCCTCATGTATTCTGAGTATTAGACCTTTGTCAGAGGTATACTTTGTAAATATTTTCTCCAATTGTGTCAGTTGCCTGTTTGCTATGTAGATAATGTATTTTAGTGTGCGGAAGCTCTTTAGGTTAATTAGATTCCACTTGTTAATTTTTGTTTTGTTTGTAATTGCTTTTACAGTCTTTGTAATGAAAACTTTGCTAGGGCCTGTGTCCAGAATGGTATTACCTAGATTTTCTCCTAGTTTTTGTATTTTTAGGTTTTACGTTTAAGTCTTTAATTTATCTTGAGTTGATTTGTGTATATGGTGAAAGAGAAGGGGCCAAGTTCAATCTTCTGCATGTGGCTCACCAGTTATTGCAGCATCATTGATTGCAGAAAGGGAGTCCTTTCTGCACTGCTTGTTTTCATTAACTTTGTTGAAGATCAAATGGTTTTAAGTGTGCAGCATTGTTTCTGGGCGCTCTATTCCACTCCATTGGTCAACGTCTCTGTTTTGTACCAGTACCATGCTGTTTTGGTTACTGTAGCTTCACTGTATAGGTTGAAGTTGGGTAGTGTAATGCCTCTCAGTTTGTTCTTTTTCCTTAGGATTTCTTTGGCTATTTGACTCTTATTTGGTTCCATTTGAATTTTAGAATAGTTTTTTTCTAACTCCATTTGATAGGTATAGCAGGTAATCTGTAAACTGCCTTGGGCAATATGGCCATTTTAACAATATTGATACTTTCTATCCATGAGCACAGAATGTTTTTCCATTTGTTTGTGTCATCTCTGATATTTTTCAGCAGTGTTTTGTAATTCTCACTGTAGAGATCTTTCACGTTCCTAGATAGCTGTATCCCTAGATATTTTATTTTGTGAATGCAGCTACCGTGAATGAGATTTCATTCTTCTTTTGGCTTTTGGCTCGGATGTTATTCAACCCAGGAATCCCATTACTTGACATATACCCAAAGGAATATAAACCATTCTACCATAAAGACTCATGCATGTGTACGTTAGTCACAACACTATTCACAATTGTAAAGACAGAATCAACCTAAATGCCCATCAAAGGTGGATGGGATAAAAAAATATGGTACGTATTAACCATGGAATACTACACAGCCATATAAAAGAACAAAATTATGTCCTCTGCAAGAACATGGGTGGAACTGGAGACCATTATCCTACGTGCATTAATGCAGGAACGGAAAACTAAATACCACATGTTCTCACTGTTAGGTGGGAGCTAAATATTGAGTACACACAGATACAAAGAAGAGAACAATAGACACCACGGCCTACTTGAGGGTGGGAGGTAGAAGGAGGGTGAGGATTAAACAAGTACCTATTGGGTACCATTTTCATTACCTGTGTGATGAAACAATTTGTTCATCAAACCCCCACAACCCACAATTTACCCTTGTAACAAACCTACGCATGTATCCCCTGAACCTAAAGTAAAAGTTGAAATGAAAGAAAAAATATTGGTATCTCAGGTATAAATCTCATATTCTCACTGTTTAGTAACTACTCCATTCAGAATTCCCTTGGGGCAGAGAGCTTTGCAGAGGGCACTTTGATAATCATACAGGATGATGCGTCTCTTATAGCTCACAAACATAGCCTTTCCTCAGTGCTCTTGACAAATAAGTTCTTTAAAAAGAGTTTAAAAATGTTGTATAATCATGTTTCATAAATTTGTATGTTCAGTAGGGTATTCTGAAGCCTATATTGGAAGTGCTACTTTTTTTTTTTTTTAAGGTGATGGTGTTAGCAGTTTAAGAGTCTGGTATTATCTTGAGATCCGTATCTCTGCTGGACCATCCATAAATATAATTGCAATGAAGTGTATTGCTCTCGTAAGAGCCCATTAAGTTCTCATAATCTCTTTTTGCAAACAGATAGAACTTATGTTGTATACTTTCATTGCTATCCAGAAAAATATATATTAAATTATCATATTGAGATAAATTATTCCATCATAGCAATTGTATTTTAAAATCTAATAATATGTATCACAAATACTTACTGAAAACTTCCTTCAGTTATATACTATATTATATTGACTGCATTGATGAGCATGTTTCAAATCATGTTTAACCTGCTAGAGTGAGCTTAACTTTAAATCCTTTCCCTCACTGGTATGGTAAGAGCTGAATTGAGCGCTAAAGACTATCAGTATTGATTCTTTCTTTTTTCTACAGCAGGACTTTCACTTGGAAATAAATATTTGGAGAAGTTGGTATAGATTTTGGGTTTTAAATGACAGAGACTAAAAGTAACATTATTTTGTTATTACCTCTGTGTCCAGGATTATTTAACAAAGGCAAATTTGATGGTCTTGGTTTAAATGAAAAATGAAGACAATTTTAATTGCTATGAATATTGTTTTAATTACATTTAATTATTTGTTGTTAATACTCAATATTTTAATTGATAATAATCAAATGTATCATTTTAATTGTCAAATATTCAACTAAAGCATGCTCATAAGAAATTAAGTATAAGAATGATATTTATTACATTCACGCCACTGGTATTTCCCCTTTCATTTTTATTTCTTTAATATTTTGTGAATATCTCTATGTTCTCAATGATCAGGGGTATCTTAATGATAGAATATGTGTTTTAAGAACAGGAATTTTACCTTACCGCTTACAAATATATATGAATTTTTTTTCAATATAGAATTGTAATGATAATCTACTTTTTTGAAGACAAGAAAACATTTTTCTGAAACTTTTTTAGTATGTACATAAAGAAGAAGAAACATATACTATTTCTTAGCCTTGCTAAAGCAGAATTTAGTTCCTATTACTACTTTTCATCAGAACTGATATTTGAATATAATTACAACTCTGAATTACTGAAGCAGATTTTAATTTTTTGTGGGAGAGGATAAACACCCCAGTCAGGATTATTGGTTAAGAGAAATAAAAACAAACTGTGGTTAAATTAAGCTGAGAAGGATTTATTGAAGGAATGCTCAGAAACTCACAGAGTCAACCCAAAGACTGGCGATTCTGGCAGGGAAACAGGATTTTTAAAATAATTCACAGCTAATGCCACTCAATTAAGAAGTGTAAAAATAGCATAATATTTCTGCAAGAAATATTCTTGGAACAAGTAAGATATGTTTGCTGATGATAATTCCCCTCAGCCTATGGTGCCATTGCCTGCAGATTGTCCATACAATCCACATCTTCACAACTTTCATTGTTTTTCTGTTGCTTTCAACTGTAGAGCCACTCATTAAAGTTACTGCAAAATTATTTGGTTTTCAAGTTGACAAAACTGTTTGAGGCCATGTTGGATACATGACAAATGTACTGTGGTTACCAATCTTCAAATTACCATGACTCTGTCCCTCCATTCCCCCATCTTTCCACCCCACAGCCAATCTCAGCCAATCATTTTTGCTAACAGAACCTAGAGTTACATCATGTTTTATATGTCTTTGTGCTCCATGGAGTCTGGGATGAATCCAGATTATTCTAACCTCAAATGGCAATTTTATTCCTCATGCTATTAATTGATTCAGGAATGGGAATGTGGAATAACACTGAAACATCACTGTCTTTTCTGTTCTGTGGATGCTGTGTGAGACCTTGATGCCTTGGAGCTGCTGCAGCCATCCTGAGTCCACAACATGCTGAGGATAGTAGAACAGAAAATTGGAAAGTACCCAAATCTTTGATGCTGTCAACTCTTTTTTTTTTTTTTTTTGAGATGAGGTCTCACTCTGTCACCTGGGCTGGAGTGCAGTGGTGCGATCTTGGCCCACTGCAACCTCTGCCTCCCGGGTTCAAGTGATTCTCCTGCCTCAGCCTCTCAAGTAGCTGGGATTACAGGCGCCTTCCACTACACTCAGCTAATTTTTTGTATTTCACCATGTTGGCCAGGCTGGTCTCGAACTCCTGACCTCATGATTCGCCCACCTTGGCCTCCCAAAGTGCTGGGATTACAGGCTTGAGCCACTGAGCCCGGCCGATGCTGTCAACTCTTGACAGTGTTTAATTAGTAGGTTACCTGCAATTCTACTTCACAGCATTATACTCAGATCTTAATTTCTGAAATATATCTAATTCTTTTTGTATAGCAGATAACTTTTGTTTTGTTAGCACAACTTGTCTTTCTCATTCTGCTATCACTTTTTCTTTTCTTTTTTTTTTCTTTTTTTGCTTTACATGTCCTCATCCCTCTCTCCTTTATTAATTGTTTCAGTGGTGGATGTGAGACCAAATTTAAGCCAATAAGCATGCTTTCCTGATACGTTCAGTACTGAGCACTAAGAAAGAAAATTTGTTTCTCTTTGCTGATGAGTGTAAGATGTTAGAGCTGTTGACTACCATGCTTTCTACCCTATGGAGGAAACTGAGCTGACTTTAGAAATAATAAAGTTGAAAATAATTAAGCAGGGAAGGGCACTAAAAAGACAGAAATAGGGAACAGATATACTTGCATAAATGTGTGAAACATTGTCCTGTTGGACTTTGGTTCTCTGATCCTACATATTCCTGAAGCTCAAATGCCACACTGCATTTCTCATGGTGTAGTTATTCAATCTTTTCTTCTAATAGAGAAAATCGGGAGCTCTCTCCATTGAATTTCCTGTTGTCTCCACTGAATTTCCTGAGGCTCAGGAGAGCATCCCCAAAGCTTCCCAAATGCCGATGGAAAAGTCAGTGAAGGAGCTGAGATGTGCCTTGTCTTCAGAAGGAAGTTTAAGTCTTGAAGAAGGTGTATGTCTTCTCATTTTCACTACTCCTTGCTAAGGAAACTTTTAATTTCTTCTTTATTGACTAAAATAAATGGCTAGGCAAGTATCCTTCCAAACTGTGATTTATCTCATAGCATTAGAATTAATACAAAACAAAACTTATAATATATTTTTGATAAGATTATGTTGAGTGACAAAAGATGAACTTTTTTTTGTTTCATTCAGGCTGTAGCAATCCTGCCCAGTGTGCATTGGGTTAGAAAGCTTTGGCTGCAATTTGAAATTTGTGATAGTGTTGTTGTTCCCCTGTGTATTATACTGTTCTTACACTGCTGTAAAGACAAACCCGAAACTGGGTAATTTATGGAGAAAAGAGGTTTAATTGATTTACAGTTCCACAAGCTGTACAGGAGACAAGACTGGGAAGGCCTCAGGAAACTTGCAATTATGGCAGAAGGGCGGAGTGGGGGCAAGCACGTCTTCACGTGGGGGCAGCAGGACAAAGAGAGAAGGGGGAAGTGCTACATACTTTTAAACAACCAGATCTCATGAGAACTCATTCACTATCATGAGAAAAGCTAAAGAGAAATCTGTCCCCATGATACAATCACCTCCCACCAGGTCCCTTCCCCAACATTGGGAATTACAATTCCACATGAGATTTGGGTGAGGACAGAGAGCCGAACTACGTCACTCTGTGTATATGTACATATATGTGTGTGTGTGTGTGTGTGTGTGTGTGTGTGTGTGTGTGTATTTATGTGTGGCTTTATGGGCATGTTCCAATTTACACAATGGAGGATGTTTGTTAAAACTCACACTCCTGGGCCGGGCATGGTGGCTCATGCCTGTAATCCCAGCACTTTGGGAGGCCAAGAAGGGTGGATCATGAGGTTAGGAGTTCAAGACCAGCCTGGCCAACATGGTGAAACCCCATTTCTACTAAAAATACAAAAATTAGCTGGGTGTGGTGGCGCACGCCTGTAAACCCAGCTACTTGGGAGACTGAGGCAGGAGAATCGCTTAAACCTGGGAGGCGGAGGTTGCAGTGAGCCGAGATCATGCCACTGCACTCCACCCTGGGAGACAGAGCAAGACTCTGTATTGGGGGGAAAAAAAAAAGCTCACACTCCCACTTTGGGAAGGTTGAAAGAGTAAGTTATGACCATTTTGAAATCTCTCTATATCCCTGAGTGAAAGAAAAAAAAGTGTTCAGGGAATGGAAAGGAAAGTGTAGAGTAGAAAAATCCCAAGTTTCCCAATTCTTTTTTATATAGACTTCCAATATTTTATATAGACTTCCAATTCAGGAGTATTATATGTAGTTGCAATCAACATTGCAAATATCTGAAACACCATTATTCTAATACAAGCTCAGAAAACATGCCAAAGCAAAAAATGAACAATTTTTAGATACTTTTTAAATTACAAACTGTTCTTTCCTCTGCCTTCTTCCATAAATGCAGCTGAGGAGGAATTGACTGAATGTGAAATTACATTCATTCATACAAGTCCAAACACCTGTCATGCAAAAAAAAGGCAAGTGCCCCCTCATTGTATCAAGAATTACCGCATGCTGGTTCCTTAAATCATGTATACTGTATCTGAACACTGTACTTATGACAAAAAAGTTCTCTGTACTTATGACAAATAATATTCAAAATAACTTACCTAAATGATAATTAAGAGTCAAAATGAGTATTTCAATAATGCACACACAGATAACTGTATGTGGATCAACACACACACACACACACACACACACACACAGTCTTAAGCAGTTAAACAGAAGAGTACTTCCTAGGGATCTGCCTCTGCAATTTGATATATTTCTATTTCTCACAGCTTTTCACAATTTTCTTTTTCGCCTCTAGGATATGTAATATGTCTGAATACTGAATAAGTCCATAGGCTCTTCCAGTGATTTCTGGCTTTTCCACAATTCCTAGGTGCCTATTAATGCATCCTCAATCCACATCTCTTCCAACCCAGCATGAGCAACTCACCTAGATTGCACCTTTTGCATTCTGTATATTTCAGATCAAACGGTGGAAGATTGCAGATGGGGGTTAGATATAAGGCATGGCTTCTGTAGATATGGTATTGTGCTACTGGCAGTAGCAGAGGAATGACAATGGCATTTCTAATTACAGCTGCTTACCTGGTTCCTCAGTTATGAACTACTGGCACTGACTTTTCAATGAGGAAAATTATTGAGACAGATTATGGTTATCACTTACTCTAAAGGGGATTGTACTTTTCAAAATTCCCTTTGGTACCATTTGTTTATTGACTTGTTAATATTTTCAAATGGAAAAAAAATAAAATCAGCAATTTCCACAATTATATATCGTACTTGAAGTAATATTATTGTTGGTTTTGGACCTCAGAAATGATTCTTTTATAATGAACTGATGATTATCTTCTGAGAGAGGATGTAGTGAAATGTATTTCCCACTAGATTATATCAAATTATTATTGACTCATTGACTCAATCAAGCTCTTTATGGGTAAAAACATAATCTTTATTTACTCTGACCCAGTGAGAGCAGGAAGTGATGAAGTTCAGCTCAAATATTTAGTGAGTGAAGTTATTCCCATTAGGAGCAGATGCAAATTGGAAACCAAGTAACAAAGTTAATCTACTGTCTTTCTCCTATCTGAAGCTGCTGTCTTCACTGAATAACTTTAGCAAGAAAGAAGCCTGCTTTAACTGGAGATTTTGAAACTCCTCCTGAGTCAGATTTCCACATTTTTTTTATTATTTAGTTAAAAGTTGGTGTTATCCAGAATATCAGTTATATTTAGATATATAGTTATATTTAGATATATAGTTATATATATAGATATATAGTTATAGTTAGATTTATATACAAACACTAACGCCTCTTATAAAATGCACATTTTATTTTTTAACAAATATTTATTGAATGTCTCTGATATTCCTGGCACTTTTCCAAATGCTGAGGGAACAGTGATTAACAATACAAATAAGGCTCTATTTTCACAAAGCTAACATTATAGCAGAGTTACAGAGAAAACAAATGATTGAAATGAGGTATTTCATGGAAAGTTTTTTTTTATCTTGGATTTTTATTATTATTATTATTACACATTAAGTTTTAGGGTACATGTGCACAACGTGCAGGTTTGTTACATATGTATACATGTGCCATGTTGGTGTACTGCACCCATTAACTCGTCATTTAACATCAGGTATATCTCCTAATGCTATCCCTCCCCCCTCCCCCCACCCCACAACAGGCCCCCGTGTGTGATATTCCCCTTCCTGTGTCCATGTGTTCTCATTGTTCAGTTCCCACCTATGAGTGAGAACACGCGGTGTTTGGTTTTTTGTCCTTGCGATAGTTTGCTGAGAATGATGGTTTCCAGCTGGATTTTCAAATAAAGTCACAAACCTGAGAACCATAGATAATCTCATCGCTATGTTAGGAAAGGCAGTTGGGTACTAATAGAAATTGCTAAATATGTATTTTAGGGTATATCACGCTGATACAGCAAATAAACCCTAAATTTGCAATGGCTTAACACAGTAAAAGATTTTTTTAACAATTGTAACCATCTAGTGAATGTGTTCCTGGTTGGTGGGTGGCATCCTCCATGTTGTGATTCAGGGAGCCAGGCTCGTTCCATCTTGTGACTCCTTCATCCTTTTGAGACTCAGAGATTCCTGTGTATAGCTGGAGAAAGAGAAAACAGAAGAGAATTTCCACTAGTTTTTAATGGCCTTTTCATGGAGGTGACACATCACTTTCACTCACATACAACTGGAGAGAACTAGTGATACAGTTATGCCCAGGTGAAAGAGGGTCTGAGAAATGATATATCTAGCTGGACAAGCTGCTGCCAAGTGACATCTTCATGCTGTGTGCCAGAAACATCATCAAAGATTTCTCCCCTCCTTGATGTGCCAGAAACATCATCTCTCCATTAAAATTTACAAAACGGAGAGATGATGTTTCTGGCACATGAAGGGCGGAGAGAAGTCTTTAGCCCATCATCCACTGCCAACACATATCTGTGATGGCCAGAACACCAAGACAGTGGAGCTGTCTTCTTTAAGGAGAAGAAGCTGACAGTTTAATGCCCCTGGCTCTTGGTGAGTTCCTGCCAACAGAATGGACCGCAGAGGGAGGGAAGATGGTTAAACTGAGAGCAAGATGCCACTTCCATCAGCACGTGACAAGATGTACTGGGCCAAAGTGAATTCGACTTAATGAAAGAAGGTTAGGTTTGGGCTTATTTGGAAGGACCCAGCCTAAGATATGTTCTGCTAGGGTGAGATGACTCCAGGAGAGTCTACATCGGGTAACTCACGATAGGAGAAGACAAAAGGAACCCATCATGTCACCTGGAGTAGATCAAGTAGCACCAATTAAGTACATAGGTATTTGTCTTTTACCTATCATCCCATTTCGTCCTGCAACCTGAAGGAGCCACATCAGCACCATGATCACAGGAGAGGAAGTTGAAGCAGGGGATTGAAAAGATCAGGCCGTATTTACCTCCTTCCCCAGGAGCAGTCTGCAAAATTCCCAGACAAGCTTGAGAGTGAGAATGGGGTGCCAGAAAGGGAGGATCAGGAGAAGCTTCAGTTGCATGTCAGAAGAAAGTGTTGATTTTGGATTTCTGCAATACCTCTAAAGGAGACTCTTCTGGCACTGAGAACCATCCTGAGATAACAAAAGTTGTTGGAGAAAGGCATCTTCTTCAAGGCTTTGGACAGTAGTAGTGGGAGAGACAGACTTTTCAGATTGCACTCCACCAATTTTATTCTATCTGGTTTACCCATTATAGATAACCAAGATAAATTTAGACAGTGATAGTTCTATGAACAGAAATATTCCAGGGTGACACTGAGGGTGGCTTTAAGACTGTGGCAGTGCACCCAGCTAGACAGGTTAGCATATGCCCAAGCCCTTGGGGCAAAATGAGCCGAGTGGAAAGTAACCTGGAAGGAAGGAGCTCAGGCAGTCCTGGAGCAGAGAAGAAGCTTAGGAAGCTGGAAATGGAACAGGAAAGGTTGTTGGTAGGAGGGAAGGGGGGTGACTTGTGATCAGAGGTGTTGACAGGGCCAGATCTCATAGGGCACCAAAGTGCAAGTGAAGAGATTTTAGTCCATGAGCATTTAGCCAATAGAGGGTGTAAAGAAAAAAAATGAATGATCTGATTTGTGGGGTTTTTTTTGTTTTTTGAAACAGAGTCTAGCTCTGTCACCAGGCTGGAGTGCAGTGGCGCCATCTCGGCTCACTGCAACCTCCGCGCCCTGGGTTCAAGCGATTCTCCTGCTTCAGCCTCCCGAGTAGCTGGGATTACAGGCACGTGCCGCCATGCCCAGCTAATTTTTGTATTTTTAGTAGAGACGTGGTTTCACCATGCTGGCCAGGATGGTCTCGATCTTGTGACTTCGTGATCCGCTCACCTCGGCCTCCTAAAGTGTTGGGATTACAGGCGTGAGCCACCGCCGCCCGGCCTGATTTGTGTTTTCAAAACATGCTTATAACTGTTGTACAGAGAAGAAATTGTAGGGGCCATGAGTGCAAAGATGGAGACCTGTTACAGACTTTTAAAGTCATTGCAATGAGCATCGATAGTTGTTTGGACTAGGGTGTTAGGGTGGCAGTGGAGAGAATACAGTCTCAAGATCTTAATGGATAAAATGACCATGGGTGAGTGAAGGAGAATAACCAGCATTAATTTAATACCTGAAACATGCATTTTCTTTTGGATTTCCTTATTCCAGAATTCTTTCTTTGTCCTATGTTTTTTATGACTACCTTGAATTATTAGTAGCCAAAACTTTCTTTGACACATAAATTGAAAGCAACCCTCTTATTTTTTTTCTAGCTCTAAAAAAGGGATATTAGAAGATAAATGGTGAATTCTTATGATTATTATCATCAGAATTAAAATATATATAAATCTGAAGAAGCCACTTTTACAAAAAATGTCTCCAGGCATTAACATAATTCATACAGATATATTTACTTATGCTTCATATATGTATGTGAACACTTTAAGAGTGTTAGTGTAAACACCCAACTGGGCCTGAAGTTTGCTGTATAGCACACAGCTTGAAGAAAAGTACAGGACCCCATTTTTTTTTTCTTTTTGCCCTGTAGCGCAGCATTGCCCGATATAAATATAATATGAGCCACAAATGCCATTTTTTTTGTTTTTGTTTTTGTTTTTTGAGACGGAGTCTTGCGCTGTCATCCAGGCTGGAGTGCAGTGGCACGATCTCGGCTCACTGCAAGCTCCGCCTCCCAGGTTCATGCCATTCTCCTGCCTCAGCCTCCCGAGTAGCTGGGACTACAGGCGCCCACCACCACCCCCGGCTAATTTTTTGTATTTTTAGTAGAGACAGGGTTTCACCATGTTAGCAAGGATGGTTTCGGTCTCCTGACCTCGTGATCCGCCCGCCTTGGCCTCCCAAAGTGCTGGGATTACAGGCGTGAGCCACTGCGCCCGGCCCACAAATGCAATTTTTAATTTTCTGGTAGTTACATATAAAAATTAACAAGCAAAATGAATTTCAAAGACATATTTTATTTAACTCAATATAACCAAAATATCGTTTCAATGTATAATCTATATAAATAAACAATGAGATGTTTTGCATTTCTATTTTATATTAAGGTTTTAAAACTCATTGTGTATTTGGATTTACAGCCCATCTCAATTTAGTCATATGTAAAGTGCTAAGAGGCACATGGCTACAGTATTGAATGGCACACTCTTAGAACAAACAATCTTTATGAGCAATTAGAAAAGACAAGACAGTCCCTTAATGTGTGTTTCTGTTATGTTTTCTGAGGAGTCACAGCTTACGGGTCTACTTTCTCTACCAATACTCTAATGCAAAACATCAAAGCAATTTTTCTTTTTTCTTTTTTTTTTTAGATGGAATCTCGCTCTGTTGCCCTAGCTGGATGGCTGGAGTGCAGTGGCACAATCTCAGCTCACTGCTACCTCCGTCTCCCCTCCTGGGTTCAAGCGATTCTCCTCCCTCAGCCTCCTGAGTAGCTGGGGCTACAGGCAAGTGCCACCATGCCCGGCTAATTTTTACATTTTTAGTAGAGATGGGGTTTCACCATATGGGCCAGGTTGGTCTTGAACTGCTGACCTCGTGATCTGCCCGCCTTGGCCTCCCAAAGTGCTGGCATTACAGGCGTGAGCCACTGCGCCTGGCCACATCAAAGCAATTTTTCTAAGTTGCTCCAGTTTGAATCTGTAACTAATTTCTTGAGAGCTGCACAAGTTTCTGGATAATTAGAGTGGGGAACAATGATTCTTTGAGACTTTACTATTAATGTCAGTAAAGCAAGTAAAAAATCTTTCAATTATTTTGAGAGATAATAATAAAAATTAATATTTTGTAAAGATCTGTACAGTTTAACATCATATCCCTGAAAGGTAGATGTTGCATCCAAATAAGGAAATAGCAGTCCGTATAGACTGTGCAATCACTGTTTTCCATGCTTTCTGACTGTGAGTTTTACGTTTTCTGGTTTTGGTTTTTCATTAGAAGGAGGAAATAACATAATGT
The DNA here is from genome assembly GCF_000001405.40 of Homo sapiens. NCBI lineage: Eukaryota > Metazoa > Chordata > Mammalia > Primates > Hominidae > Homo > Homo sapiens. The sequence goes on along the minus strand of NC_000023.11, from coordinate 35,566,016 downwards.
TAAAGTACATTTGATTCGTATTTTTGTTTATCTAATATTTATAGGGTACCTAAGTGATTACTTGAAGAATAACAAACTTATCTGAATATAGACAAGAATTTTTCAGAATACCAAATATTTAAAAAGGAAAGTAACTCACAGAACTGTGAGTGATATAATATTGGAACATTTATTTTTTAAATGAAAACATTTTAGAAAGTTACTTTAACTTTCCTTTGAGTCCTATTGTGTATTTTTTTAATCCTGTGATTTTCAATTAGAAGTGACTTTTCCAATGACCTCTAAAGTCATTGTTAAACTCTCAGTGGTTATTAGAGTTTCATATAGCTTTCTTCAATTTCATAACAATAACAGATATACTTTTAGTATAAAAATAATTAGGTTCTTTTTTAGAAAAAAATTCTGTCTCTCAGTTTAATTAATTGAAGTGGATATTAAGCAAGAAGAAATTTTCAAAAAAGATTCTCATTTTAAAAATAAGAATATTATGGAATATAGTTTATTTAGCCTTACAATATATTTCTTGATTAGAATTTTCATAGCAGAATGAATAAAGGAAAATTGGTTATATCTATAAATTGTCTCTTTAACCTGCTTTTAAAATAGTGATTTTCCTGTAAGTGTTTACCTGTTTCCTGCAAATTGCTTCTCTCCCACTATTCCCAATCTCCCTGAGAGGTACAATTATCCACAAAAGTCACTAGCCAGGTCTTGTATTCTGGTAGCCTACATTCATACCACCACTGTTGTTTATTGGTAGTATCTATTGTGATTGGCAGTGCTCATGGACCAATGATTAAATATTGTAAATATAACCCTCGTCCTGACCATACACATCCACTCAAATTTCCATATCTGAAATTTATCTACTTCTTTACATCTCAGCTGCCACCATTTGAATTCAAGCCAGCCAAATTGGGCGCTTGATTTAGAATTGCCAACCTATTTTTTTATTATGAATGGACAATTGTACACACATGAATGTGTAAATACACAAAACAAAGTGAGCCTACCTACCACCTAGTATCAACCTCATTTTTAAAATAAAATGTAATTTTAACCACGGAAAATAATGGCATAATTTTAGAATGAGGACTCATGCTTTGAATTACATTTGGTTAAATTAAAAATATAATACATAGGCTGGGTGCGGTGGCTCACACCTGTAATCCTAGCACTTTGGGAGGCTGAGGTGGGCAGATCATGAGGTCAGGAGATTGAGACCATCCTGGCCAACATGGTGAAACCCCATCTCTACTAAAAATACAAAAATTAGCCGGGTGTGGTGGTTCACGCCTGTAATCCCAGCTACTCAGGAGGCTGAGGCAGGAATCACTTGAACCCAGGAGGCGGAGGCTGCGGTGAGCCGAGATCGTGCCACTGCACTCCAGCTTGGGCGACAGAGTGAGACTCTTGTCTCAAACAAAAAAAAATATATATAACACATAGTCTCTTGTTTTCTCTCTGATTTCACAGCAGACCAGTGAAAAATTTATCATGGGCCTGCGCAGGCCAATTTTAGAACTACATCAGTCTTTCCTTCTTCCTCCAATAAAAACTCAGTTGCTTACCCCTCACCCTATTCATTTACTTCTCTATAGGCACTTACATTTCAATGAGAAAAAAAGAAAAATTTTAAAATTAGAAGTGTTCTCTTTGATTTCAGGCCTCCCTGATCTGGGATAATAAAGGCAAGAATGTGGTAGGTTCATAGGTGCTTTATGGTGGCCATTTTAAGGAGTCCTATTACTGCCTGCTCTATATCTATAACAGGGAGATCTGATCTCCCTTCAAATCCAAATGATTTTCTTTCTGGAATCACCTTTGAAACCTCTGTACTTTTTCCAGTGATATCTGCAGTTCTCTAATTACTCTTGGAACTGCTTTTTGAGAACTGCTCTTTCAGAAGGAAGTATAACTCTTAACAAATGTACCACATTATTTTATTTTCTCTTTTGCTGCAATGAATGAAATCTGAAGAAAGTCAAACACCGTCTCTTTATTTATGTTTCCCTAGCACCCATCTCAGGGCCCAATATATAGGATATTATATGTGTGCCTCTAATTAAAATAAACATGGTAAAGTTGTAAACATTACAAATTATACTGTAAAGGAAAACAATAATCCCTGCCTTACACCTCCCTCTCCGATCCCTCACGGACCATTACTTTGAAAACTTCCAAATTTTCAATATGTAATAACTTATTTATTGGTATTTATTGATTTACCTACTATAGATATTATTTTCTGACTTCTAACTATGAAATATGATTATTTAGTTAAGAGACACCACATACACCCTTTCTTCCTCCTTAATTTTGATAGTTGCATTGTTTTTGTTCATCCATTATATAAACACTTAGTTACCACTGACTATATATCAGGTCCTACACTAAGGATGTGTCAGTGAATGACACAAAAAAGTTCTGTACTCTACAAGTTTTAGTCAGTGTGCACAGAATAAACACTATAAGTAAGACATTGTAGTTTGGAAAGTACAAAGTGCTAAGGAGAACTTTCTCCTCCAACTACAGTTCAATTTCTCTATTGTCTTTAATGTAAAACTTCTTTAAAGAATGAACCTCTTGTCTCCAATGTCTTTGCTTCCAATTTGTCTTAAATTCCTTTTAGACTTTCGTTCTTAAGATTCCATAGAAGCTGCTTTTATAAAGGCCAGCATTTACTTTCATATTGCTACATCTGATTATCAATTTTTGGTTTGCACATTACTCAAACCAACAGCAATGTTTGATTTTTGTAGAATCACTTTCATCTTTGCTTTTATTGGTTACAATTAGGTATCTTTTATTGTCTTCCTCTGTTAGTTTCCTCATTTTTAGAGAGTCCCCCTGATATCTTCCTTCACTTTCACTGTCACTTAATTATATTCTCAGAAAAATTATTTAAAATATTCATGTGTGATCAGCTTTTTAAATTCTTGCATATTCTCAGAACCTTTATTATGCCCTCATACCTAACTGGTGCGTTATAGAATTCTCATTCAAATTTATTTTCCTCAGGACTTTGAAAGCATTGGTCTATCTTTTCCCAACATCTAGTATTTACTGATGAGAATTCTGAAGTACCATTTGCTTTGAAGAGATTTTGTTTCTTTCTTCTCAGGAGACTTTTAGGCTTTTTCTGTGTATCTGGTGATATGAAATAATACAGAAATATATCTTGCATGAAAAATTTATTTATTTTTTTCCAAGATGGTGTATTAGAGGCATTGCTAGCATACCTCTCCTACTGGAAAGGACAAAATAGTGTGTAGAGATTCACACTGTGAACTTTTTTTCAAGACGTAATGCAGGAACTGAATAGGAATACTGAAGGAATCCACAGGCCCTTTCAAGGAAGCAGCAGGCGGCCGCCTACACTGAGTCAAGCAAAGGGCTAAGAATCCCCAGAGTGTGAGGTGGGAGAGAATGCCTCTGGGCTATGCACCCATACCATGGAGCTTGAAAGTCCAGGCCACCCAGGAAGGCCTTAACACTACCCAGTGCTTCTTCCACAGGAGCTCAGCATAGGTACAGCTATTAACAGCCCTTCTGGAGATCTTCTGGGTAACTGCATCCCCTCAGTAGGAGCACCCTCCAGGTTCAGGCTTGCACAAGAGACAGAGTCACAATTTCCCTCTGCTTGGAACATCAACTTTCCTACAGATGAAAAGAGGTGCTTGTCTGACCTGAATAGCCAGACCACTGGGATGGCAATGTGTCTGAGAGGTGAATAGCTTTCCTGCTGACCTGGCAGGGGAGCTTAGGTGGCTCCAACACTTCCCCTTGATAAGCCCTCAGTGTGACTCACTAAGAGCTCCTCCAGCCACCTCCGTCAAGGCTGGGACCTCTGCCCACCATTGGGTATTGTGTTTACCCACTTGCTTTAGCCACATCTGGTTCTTACCCAGGTATACATCCCTACTGGACTGAAACCTGAACCATCAATCAAGTAAATAAAATACTCAGGAAAAATAAATAAATGAAAAAGTGCATGCCATGAGGGAATGAGATAAGCTTCAAGAGACCTCTACCATTTCAACTCCATAGGAGACAGTGAACTTGCTCACACACCAAACACATTGCTTCTACAACCAGCATACGGAAAAGCCATCATACAAAGACTCTCTATAACTAAGCAACTCTTACAGCCTTCACCCTTGAAAGTGCCATGAACCAAATTAGGCTATAACTATAAGCATTAAAGTGAAATCCTTAAGGGGAAAAAAAGAAATTATTTCTTATTTCTTATTTTTGTCTGACTGAGTTGATCCAACACACCAGTTTTCAAGCCCTGAGATTCTTTGCTCAACTTGATCTATTCTGCTGTTATTACTTCTGATTGTTTTATGAAATTCTTGTAGTGAATTTTTCAACTTTAGCCGATTAGTTTGGTTCTTTTTTAAAATGGCTGTTTTGTCTTTCAGCTATTTTATCTTTTTATTGAATTTCTTAGATTCCTTGGAGTGGGTTTTCACTTTCTCCTGAATCTGAATGATCTTTAATACTGTTCATATTCTGAATTCTATGTCTGTCATTTTAGCCATTTTAGCCTGGATAAGAGCCATTGCTGAAGAGCTAGAGTAGTCATTAGGAGGTCAGAAGATGCTGTGGCTTTCTGAGTTGCCAGAGTTCTTGAGCTGGTTTTGTCTTATCTGTCTGGGCTGATATTCTTTTAATCTTTGATGTTGTTGTACTTTGGATAAGTTTTTTGCTTTTATAGTCTTTGTTGCCTTGAGAATTTGACTGTGGTATAAGTTGGATTCAGTCAACTGGCTTCATTTCTGGATTACTTCAGTTGACAAAGATTCAGTTCAGCACTCCTGAGCTGCATGTTTTAACCCTGAGTGGCTGTAACCAGGCCCATAGCTTTGCTCTCTGGCCACTTTAGTTAAGCACCTGCTACGCTGGAGGGAACAAGGTGTTCCCTTCCCACTAGTGACAACATTCTGATGGGGGAGGTGCCAGCAAAGTGCTTCATCTGAATACCAGCAAATAGGTCTGCATTCATGAGCACACGCCAGCAGTGATGGGGCAACAGGGACCATGTGCACCAGCAGGGGCGGGGTAGAGGTGGTGAGTTCCATGCATGCATGTGTGCTGGCAAAGCGGTAGAAAGAGGCTGCAGGTGGGTGCAATTCATTGGGGACCCATCTGCTGAAGCTCTCTAATGGTTAGACAGGGTCTTCCAGTGAAGGAGCTATGGCCGGGACTGCCAGGAAGAACTCCAGTTGGTCATCTGAGTCTGCGCTGCAATGGGGCATGGCCAGGCAGAGACCCTGGAAAATACTGGCAGACAGGTGGTGCTCAGATCAGACTGGCCCTGTCCCACAGGCAAGACTGACCTGCTTTGTTCAGGTCCGACAGTCAACAAAGGCCAAAGCCACTTAGAGGAGTGTGGCGAGCCTTGGGGGATGGGCATCCTGGCGGTGATCCACTGCTGCCATTCCTGTGCCAAACCCTCTGGGCTCTGCACATGCTAGAGTTGTGTCCCTGCCACCTCTCTAAGAAGCTCTCCCTGTTGGCTCAAATGTCTTTAGTGGTCATGGAATCTCCTGTGCTAGGATTCCGGAGGCCTGTGGTAACAGTGGTCCACTCCTCACCTATTTAACCCACCCTTTCCCCAAAAGCTGCTGAGGGCCAGTAATGAGTCCTAATGCTTGGCAGTCCTGTGCTGTATTTCCAGCTTCCACCCTCTTCAGACCAGGGTCTACATTCTCCCTCCATCCATTCCCAATGCCTTTCTTCCAAGGATCTGCTCTCAGTGTGCCAGTCTTCTTGATGGTCTAGTCTTTCAGTGGGAGATGCTCAACTACCAAAACAAGGGAAATTAAAAATCACTAAATATTATATTACTGAAATGATCTGCTTATTTTCATATTAGAAAAATTATATTAAAGTGTACATGTGTGCTGGTATCTCAACACTATATTTTCCTAAGTTGTATGGAGCATGGTGTTTAAGGTATAGTTTAAATACAACTGAAATTCTTCATTAGAGAGCAGTGTTGCCATATTTCTTATCATTACTGTTAGAGAAGAGTCTAATCTGTGATCCAAGGGAAAACAAATACAATATACAGCAGATGTCTCTTGTCATGCCATACACTGGCTCCCTTTTTGCCTTCTTTCATAATTGTAAGGTTCTTAAGGCCCTCACCAGGAGCAGATGCAAATACCATGCTTCCCGTACAGCCTGCAGAACTGTGAGCTAATTAAGCCTCTTTTCTTTATAAATTACCCTGTCTCAGGTATTCCTTATAGTTACACAAATGGACCAATACAGTGTCTGTCTATATCTATCTATCTGTCTGTCTGTCTGTCTGTCTGTCTGTCTGTCTATCTATCTATCTGCACACACAAATATACTATACTATTGGTTTTCATTATATAGTATTCATGTTTGCATAAATAAACATTTTAAAATACAGATTTCCCATTAATAGTTTAATAAGTAAGCATAGACTTCTTATCAAGGAAAATATAATAGAAAATTTATTCCTTTTAACTTTTTATTGTGAAAAAGGTTAGAAACATGCAAAAGTTGAAGGAATAATACAAAGAACAAACTCATGTTTTTCTCCTAGTGTCATAAATTACTAAAGATTTGTCACATTTGTCTTTGTCTTGTTCTTCTCTTTAATTTTTTTTTTTTTTTTTTTGAGACAGAGTCTTGCTCTGTTGCGCAGGCTGGAGTGCAGTGGCGTGATCTCAGCTCACTGCAACCTCCACCTCCAAGTTCAAACAATTCTCATGCCTCCACCTCCCGAGTAGCTGGGACTACAGGCATGCACCACCACGCCTGGCTATTTTTTGTATTTTTAGTAGAGATGGAGTTTCACCATATTGGCCAGGCTGGTCTTGAACTCCTGGACTCAAGTGATCTGCCCACCTCAGCCTCCCAAAGTGCTGGGATTATAGGTGTGAGCCACCGTGCCCTGCCTCTATAAAGTGTTTACTATTCAATATGAAAGTAAGTTTAAGCATCACGCCTTTTTGAAACTACATACTTCATGTTATATTTCTTAAGAGCATATTAATATTCTACATCATCTAGTGTCAAGTGTGAATACAACTTTACTCAATTGTCACAGTTAGTGTATACTAACTGAAAATCCTGAAACACGGAGATAACAGAGGGAGAGCCAGTCTGAAATAAAAATATAGGCTATAGATAAAACATGCATATATTTTAAGGAGGTGACTCTACTATAAATATAAAATTAATTTTTATTTGTATTTTATGATAACTATGAGAATTTATTGAGAACCAGGTGCTATATTTTACAAACACTGACTGATGCTGCTGAATTGCCATTGTAATTTTTCAAATATTATCTGGCAAAATCCACTAATAAGAAACTGATTTACTTTTTAGATATGTTATCATTCTGTAAATGTTGATATTAAATATTATATTGTGCCCATTGTGGCATTTGGATTACAGAAGATATTCTAGTTCTCATTATGTTGCATTGGAGTTGCTGGATTCTTTCACAGTTTCTAATGTGGAAACTCAATCTAATACTGGACAGACTCAAGTTATTCTAGCAAATCACAGTTGCACCCTGAGTGTGTATTTGTTAGAAGGATAAGGAAAATTTCATTGCACAGTAAAAAGGTATGCTTTATCTATGCTTATGTTCAATTTATTTTCTTTGATTTCACCAAGCCTACAATTTTAAGTTCCTGATGATTTTATATGTACCATGAGATAGACAGTATGCCACGGGCTTTAAAATAAAAGAATGTTTCTAACATTGGAGGTCCTAACACAGCTTTAAAAATTAATCCTGGCTTCCTTTTATATATCCAGTAACTCCATGCACTCAGTGTCTGAGGGAAAACTATGCTGTAAACATAATAAACACTGTTTACCATGGTCTGCCTTACCAATATTCACAGAGCACACATTCTGAGAATGGAGAATCTGTGCAAGGCAAGTCATTAATCACCCAAACATCAACCCTGCCTATTCTCAGTGCACAAAGACTCCAACTCAAACAAAAATACTGATTTTTGTTTCTCTTTTGTTTTGCCTATTTGCACAACTGATCATACCACCTCACTTCATCATAGAGGTGTCTGCTCAGTCTTATAATTTTGCTCTCAGGAAGGCTGATTATCAAACTTCAAACAACTTCCACTCTATTAAAGTATGATGGTGCATTTTTTGGAGCAACTCGAATTAATTTCAAAATCAGTAAATATTTGAATCCTTAGATCACTTGAATCAAACAGAATCAGCATCACAATTTAAAAGATAGATATTTTAATGCAAATGCCAAATTGCTGGCATTTATTTTTCTGACTTGGGTTATATTATTCAACTTTTCATGAACTTAAATACAAAAATGTGGAAAGTTTAATTTTGCAAATATTGTGTTATCTTTAAACTTAATTTTATCTGTACATTATGCCTAAATAATATTTTTTTAAAAAAACAATAATTTCTTTACAGCATCTCCAAATATGCTACAGAGCAGCCCAAGAATTATCTCAGTGCATTCTCACAACAATCCTATAAGTGAAAGTATTATTATCAATTCCATTTTGCAGATCAGGAAACTGAGAAACACAGAAATCAAGACAAAGCAGCTAGTAAGAGGTTGAGCCGAGAATTGAACCCAGGTTGTCTGGCTTCAGCTTATCTTCATGTCTACTTTCACAGCTACCTACAGTTTGCCAAGTGATTGTAACTTTTACTGCCAATAACAATTTTAGATAACATTTTACTGTTACCGTTAGTGAAATGAAATAAAATACAGAGATCCTGGATTCAGTGCAGGGCCTGTGGGTGAATGAAGTGTTATCTTTTTCAAAAAAACGTGCAATTTACTGTTAGAAAAATTGTTTTGAAACTAACACATAATTGGCTTATACATTACCTAAACCAAACATTTTCAAAAAATTATTGATTGTCCAAAAAATTAAAGAAGGAAAGTAATATTCATATGGAAAGGAAAATAAAGAGAGGGGTTTTTTTGAAAAAAACAAACAAACAAAAAACAAGTTATTTTGTCAAGTGATTGCTTCACAGCAGGGTTAGAGTTCCTTTAATTCTTGGAGAAAATGTAGTTGCTTGCATTTGTGCTGTAAACGTCTATTCAAACATAGTCTGGCAAGTTACAATGGTGATTATTAGTTCTGAATCCTAAAGCTTTGGAAAATCCTAGCCTACAAATTGAAAGTGAAATTCTTTGCCAAACACAAAAGAAATCAAAGTAAATAAGCAACTCATGTCTTTTGTGGACTGGTTAAGCACTGATGCTTGATTTTATTCTGAGCATCTTCTTACAAGTTGTAACAAATCTTCAAGAATTTATCTGTGGCTGGACTTGAATCAATAATTCATTATTTCAGCCACTGGTTGCAGACTCCTTCAACCTTTAAACTGTATTACTCTAACCTTTGTAATTTTTTTTCTGCCCTTTTCATTCCTGAATCATTTGGATCTTCCTCTTTTATTCAGTTTATCCAGGTGTCATCCTTTGCAAACAACAACAACAAAAACCCAGCTCATTACAAAGCATTAATTAAATGAAGTCTTAAAAATACAGTATATGTCATGTACACGCAGACATCTACATTTTTTTAAAAAATGAAACTTCAGGTTTTTTTTTTAAGATCTAAGGGTTTGGCCTAACTTATTTTCTTCCTTCAACTTTTATTTTAAGTTCAGGGGTACCTGTGCTTGATGTGCAGGTTTGTTACATAGGTAAATGGTGGTTTGCTACACAGATCATCCCATCACCTAGGTATTAAGCCCAGCATCCATTATCTATTCTTCCTGATGCTCTCCTTCCCCCCACCGCACCCCGAACAGGTCCCAGTGTGTTTTGTTTCCCCTTGTGTCCATATGTTCTCATCATTCAGCTCCCACTTATAAGTGAGAACATGGGGTATTTGGTTTTCTGTTACTGTGTTAGTTTTTTGAGAATAATGGCTTCCAACTCCATCCATGTCCCTCATTCCTTTTTATGGATGCATATTCCATGGTGTATATGTAATACAATTTTTTATTCATTCTATCACTGATGGGCATTTAGGTTGATTCCATGTCTTTGCTATCATGAATAGTGCTGCAATGAACGTACACGTGCATGTATCTTTATGACAGAATGATTTATATTCCTTTGAGTATATACCTAGTAATGGGATTGCTGGAATTGAGTGGTATTTCTGCCTCTAGGTCTTTGAAGAATCACCACACTGCCTTCCACAATGGTTGAACTAATTTACACTCCTACCAACAGTGTAAAAGTATTCCTTTTTCTCTGCATCCTTACCAGCATCTGTTGTTTTATGACTTTTTAATAATAGCTGTTCTTACTGGCATGAGATGGTATCTCATTGTGGTTTTGATTTGCATTTCTCTAATGATCAATGATGTTGAATATTTTTTTATAGGTTTGTTGGCCACATGTATGTCTTCTTTTGAGGAGTATCTCTTCAAGTCCTTTGCCACTTTTTTAATAGTGTTGTTTGTTTTTTTGTTTTTTGTTTTTTGTAAATTTGTTTAAGTTCCTTATAGATGCTGGATATTGGACCTTTGTCAGACGGGTAGATTGCAAAAATTCTGTCCCATTCAATAGGTTTTCTACTTATTCTGATGATAGTTTCTTTTGCTGTGTAGAAGCTCCTAAATTTAATTAGATCCCATTTGTCAGTTTTTGCTTTTGTGTCAATTGCTTTTAGCGTTTTCATCATGAAATCTTTGCCCATGCCTATGTCTTGAATGGTATTGCCTAGATTTTCTTCTAGGGTTTTTATAGTTTTTGGATTTTTGTTTTTTTTATTTAAGTCTTTAATCCATCTTGAGTTAATTTTCACATAAGGTGTAAAGAGGGGGTCCAGTTTTAATTTTCTGCATATGGTCAGCCACTTCTCTCAATACTATTTATTAAACAGAAAATCTTTTCCCCATTGCTTGCTTTTGTCAGATGTGCCAAAAATCAGATGGTTGAAGGTGTGTGGTCTTATTTCTGAGTTCTCTATTGTGTTTCATTGGTCTATGTGTCTATTCTTGTACCAGTACCATGCTGTTTTGGTTACTGTGGCCTTTTAGTATAGTTTGAAGTCAGGTAGCGTGATGCCTCCAGCTTTGTTCTTTTTGCTTAGGATTGTCTTGGCTATTTGGGCTCTTTTTTGGTTCTATATGCATTTTTAAATATTTTTTTCTAATTCTGTGAAGAATGTCAATGATAGTTCAATGGGAATAGCATTGAATCTGTAAATTACTTTGGGTAGTATGACCATTTTCACGATATTGATTCTTTCTATCTGTGAGCATGGAATGTTTTTCATTTGATTGTGTCATCTCTGATTTCTTTGAGCGATGGTTTTTAGTTCTCCTTGAAGAGCATCTTCGCTTCCCTTGTTAGCTGTATTCCTAGGTATTTTATTATTTTTATAGTAATTGTAAATGGGAGTTCATTCATGATTTGGCTCCCAGCTTGCCTGTTGTTGATGTATAGGAATGCTAGTGATTTTTGCACACTGATTTTGTATCCTGAGACTTTGCTGAAGTTACTTATCAGCTTAAGAAACATTTGGGCTGAGATGATGGGGTTTTCTAAATATAGGATCATGTCATCTGCAAACAAAGGTAATTTGACTTCTCTCTTCCTATATGAATGCCCCTTATTTCTCTCTCTTGCCTGAATGCCCTGGCCAGAACTCCCAACACTATGTTGAATACGAGTGGTGAGAGAGGGCATCCTTGTCTTGTGCCGGTTTTCAAGGGGAATACTTCTAGCTTTTGCCCATTCAGTATGATATTTGCTGTGGGTTTGCATAACTTATAACTATTAAGAAAATAACTTATATAGATTTTATGTCTTTCCTTGATTTCACTGATTAAATGTATCTGAACTGACACACACAACTGAGTAGCTGACTAATCTAGAATCAGCTAATGGCAGTGCTTATAGGATATGCTTTAACTATTTCTGATTGTGCCTCTTTTCTGAACTGAAGGAAATGGTTATGGATTATTATCCACTTCATTTCCTTCTATTTTGGATCCATGTAAAGAGCTCTGCATGGCAAAAAATCTTTAGGCCAGAGTTGTTTTGTGCAGATTTTGAATCTTGAAATTAATTTGGTTAAGACATCACAATTTCAAATATCACGAACTCATATTATTCTGTTAGAAGCTCCAAATAAGACTGCATTACTGCAAAACAGAGTAAAAGGAACAATAGTAATCAGTGGATTTTGGAATTGAGGACTCTCTAATCTCAAAGATTATATTCTGAGACTTTTTTTCTTTCAACAAAAAGTTGTTCCATTTTTAATTTTCAAAGAATTTCCATTGTGTATTTTATTCTCACTTCATTGTTTGACTCTGCAACCAAAGGTCAGACTAGCAGAAAGGAAGAAAGAAAATGTAAAATCAGAGTGTTTTTATAACCCAGCATGAGTCTGTGATCTTGCAGACTGTCTATGGAATGCTCTATTGATTTCCAGCAGGCTGACACCCTGAAGCTTAGCTCAATGTGCAAGCCAGATTTATTCTCTTTACCTCCAACTTGTTTTAGCTTTCAGAAACATTGAAATTGGATCTTTAAAGAGTTTACTGCCTCTCCTTTAAAAGAAATCTGCAATTAAGATGGGCTAAAAATGTTACTTGTTTTTCAAAATGCACATGTTCACTGGGTTACTTTTTAATTTCCCTCTCTGTGCCCAAGTGAGTAATTTAAGCAATGGCTAGGGCATCTGTTGGATATTAGTGTTCTACTGCTTACAGTGTTCAATAATAGCAGCATGAGTTTTAGCATAGAAGCAGAGAAAAGCTACAGAATTCCAGGACACTTGGGGAAATAAGAAAACATAGCCTTGTTTTTTAAATTGGCTCATTTTCAATGGTTTCAAGTTACCTGATTTCTGCCATCCAAGATTTATTTTACAAAGTTGCCAAAAATTAAACAACCATTTGTTAACTACTTTTGCCTTTCCATTATAATGCAGATACTTAGCATGGTTATAAAAATATTTTAACTTGTTTGTAATTTAAGTCCCTTCACAAATAGAGGTTTTAGAGACACTTTGTTAGTGTCACAATAAAGTAAAAATGTGTTAAATATCTGCAAGGAATGATTCCTCATGCCAGGACTCAACAAACTTTATCTATAAAGGGCCAAGTAGTAAATATATTTGTCTTTGAGGCCCATATAGTTCCTGTTGCAACTACTCAACTCTGCTGTTGTAGTGCAAAGCAGCCATAGACAATGCATAAACAGATGATGATGTCTACATTCCAATAAGACTTTAATTACAAAAACAGGCAATTGGCCGAATTTGACCAGTGGGTCTGTGTACCAACTCCTTCCTTATCCTCTTGGTAATAAATATTTCATTTATATATGTTGTTCTATAAATGCATTCTTAGCCACATACATATAAATAATTTAATCTCTCTGATCATAAATAAAAATGATTTACTATATTAAATATTTTATATGTTCTTGGAGAAAATTTTTAACCAAGTGATTAAATAATAAATAAAACATATGGATAAGAAAGTATTATAAAAATACAGTTGGATCAATATTTTAACAATAGAAATAAATTGCGAACTAATTTGTGGCGTCTTAATTTCCCACAACTGGTTTAAGCTACTTTCTGCCATATAGCAGGAAAAAAATAGTAAACTTGACAATAAAAATTATATCAGTATTTTTCAGTTCAAAGCAATCTCTTTTAAGTAAACTAACTCTCTCTTAGGTAAATCTTTAGACTCTCAGAGTGTCTCCCAGTTTTCTTTCATATAATAGTGTCAGTAGGACTGAACAGTAGACAACTGGAATGTTTTTCCAATGAAAACTAGAAGTATCTCTAGATCAACAGTTGAGTCCTAGTACTTTGTTCTTGGTTCACGATAGCTTTCTCTATTTAAATCTAAGGCTGGTAAAAGGCTTGGGTGGTTCTCTTGTCATAGATAATTGCAAAGGGCTAGACTACATCCTCTTGCTGGCCAGGCCTTACCTCAGCTTGATGATTTCCATGATGTTGATTACAACTCCAATGGAACCACAGAGCAGGCATTTCCAGGCCCTGTAGCCCTCAATCAGATGGGCTCTTTGACCAACCTTGTTGTAGGGAAACCTCCAGCCTACACCATCAATTATTTTGTGTAACTACAATATGGCAATAAGAAACTCATGGGTAAGTTCCATATAGTTGTCATAGAGGATCTGCTGGTACTAGTTCTAATTCTTTCTGCCTGAATTTTACTTTTCACACTTCTAGTTTCATTGCAATGTGGGTGCCATGTGTTCACAAGATGCTCACTTTGAGATGCTCCCCACCCAGATTCCCAAACTTAATGTGGCACAAAATTGCTTCTGAGGCCTGATTTTCCCAGTAATGATTTTGATTTGCCAATCTACTCATTCTCCTTCCCTCTCTGCAATTCAAAATAGGGATCAGCGCAAGGAAAGACACTGACTCTAATACCTTTTCTTTCTCTATCTCCCTCTCATATATGAAAAAGATCCTCCTTCCCTTTACTCTGTGATCTTTGTCTCTGTTGTAGCCTCCTCCTTCTCTCCTTTGTGTTTTATGTAGGCACCATCTATGTATCTTCTTACACACATATTCCTTAATGAACAAGCCTTGTAATGTAGCCTAAATTGTTGAAAAGCAGCAGGGAAACATGACTGACAAGAAGAGTAAAAATGTTTGACATATATTCCGAAGCTACTCATTAACATATGGTACTAAATAATACCTTCTCATTTAAATATTTGTAAATGTCTTAAAATTATTTTATGATAAAACTATGCTGTCATTCAACAGATGATGTGAATTTTTCTGCAGATGTTGCAGAATCATCTGCAGAATTCACAGAATCCTTGTAAGTGGAAAGTTGATAGCAAGACTCTTAGCACCAAGAGGGAGATTCCTGGGCGTGAGTGATCTCTCATCTTTTCAAATACTGTATCCTCTCTCTCTCTCTCTCTCTGTCCACACACACACACACATACACACTCTCACATGTATATTTGTGAATTTATATGTGTGTGTGTGTGTATATATATATATATATAATTTCACTATTTTTTCAAGAAGACAGAATTTTTAGAATTGAAACTCATTATCAAACTTTTAGATTGCTTATTTCTCTATCATCTTTTCTCCTCATGTCATTTTGGATATTTCATCCCATTTGCTATAAAAGTTCTTAATAAACAAACCCCACTCTCAAATATCTCACAATAATGACAAACATCCACAATAAACATGAAAAATATTCCAATAAAGGTATGCACAAGCTGTCATGCAGTGCCAGTAAGGGAAGTAATCATTCCAGGCTTAGCAAGTATAGAGAAGACCTGGAAAGAGATAGCATTTGAGCCAGGACCTGAACAGAGAAGGGTGACTAAAAGTGTGGCAGAAGAGAAATGTGAAGAAGAACATTGAAGGCAAAAAAGGAGCATGAGTAGGCATATGAGAATTATTTACAGGCCATTCAAGTGAGAGGGAGAAGAAGGGAGAGAGAGAGAGAGAGAGAGAGAGAGACAGAACATTCAAGGGGAAAGGATAGTCTCTTTAACAAATGGTACTGAGACTAAAGGATACCCACAGGCAAAAGAGTAAATTTAGAACCCTACCTCATAGCATATACAAAAGTTAACACAAAATGGATCAATAACCTAAATATAAAAGCTAAAACTAAAAAACTCTTAGAAGAAACCCTCTTGACTTTAGATTTGGTAGTGGATTCTTAGATATAAGCAATAAAAGAAAAAATAGATAAAACTGAACTTCAACAAATTTTTTTTTTTTTTTTAAAAACCCTTTGTATATCACAGGATATTTTCAGGAAGCTTACTAGGTAACTCGTAGATTGGGAAAAAATGTTTGCCAAATTATATAGCTGATAATATATACTACTTGTTAGGGAAATGCAGATCAAAATCACAATCAGATATCATTTCACATTTTTTTAATGAAAAATAAGAAGTATTGGCAAGGATGTGGAGAAGGTGGAACACTTATACATTGCTGGTGGGAATTTTAAATGGTTTGGCCACAGTGGAATATAGTTTGACCGTACCTTATAAAGTTACACATCGAATTATCACATAACCCAGCAATTCTACACCTAGATTTACGCACAAAAATAATTGAAAAACTATTATACTCAAATACGTGGCATAAATATTCATAGTGTCACTATTCACAGAAGTCAAAAAGTAGAAACAACCCAAATTTTCATCAATGGATAAATAGATAAGCAAATTGTGGCATAAAAGGGAAAGAAGTATTAATACATGCTATTATACAATGTGGATAAACCTTACAAACTATACTTTAAGTGAAAGAAGACAGACATAAAAAGTCACATATTGTATAAATCCTTTATATGAAATACCTAAAATAGGTAAATCCATAGAGACAGAAAGCAGATTGCTGGTTGTCAGAGACTGGAGAAGGGATTAGGGAGTGACTGCTTATAAGACACAAGATTTGATTTTTGTGAAAATGGCAATGTTTTGGAAGTACACAAAGATGGTGATTGCACAACATTGTAAATGTACTAATTACCACTGAATTCTGCAATTTAAAATGAGTGGATTTCACTGCAATTGAATAAAGAAGGTCCAGACTAAAAATCATTATGTCTGTCTGTGCCATTTGGAACAGAATTTGGATACCTTGGTCACACACATGTCTATGCATTACAACAGACTCATAATTATTTTCTAAAGAGAATTTTAGCTGCATTGACTAGGTTCAGTGGAGTGAGATTGATTGCTTTTTGCTTAATAACAAATCTTTGCTATGCCTCTTCAGTTTCCACATTAGGATGTGAGCTCAACATTCACCTTCACAGTTGGTTATGACATATGGTTCACTTCAGACCAAATTGTTGGATTTCAGGTGATACATAATTGTGACTAGTTATTAGTATGTAATTTATGACAAGCATAATACATGTTAAACCAAAGTCAACATGAAGTTATCATAGTTATTTGGTTTACAATTATCAACTCTGGAAGTTGATATCTCTAAAACTAATACATTATTCTTATTGGTATGCACTCCTATATCCCTGGTGTTATTTACTTTTACAATTTAGGAAATATAATTTAATCTGAATCAGAATCTACCTGTATTTAAACATCTGAATCAAATCACTAATATTACATTTAACATTGGGTTAGGAGAAAAGAGTAAATAATCTCCAAACTATAGCTATATTAGTAGAAAAGTAATCAAAATTGCTACTTTATAGGCATCAATTACTGCTTCATTCATTCATTTATGAAACTTTAAAAAATATGTAACAGTGATATTTCACATTTAAGACGGCACTCAAAATCAAATACAATGATTTATATATATATATATGAATGGTGTGTGTATAAACATATTTCAAATATGAACTAATTTTTTAAATGTACATATGAGAGTGTGACAGAGTAATCAGCAAAAAATTAATTCTCAAAAAATATTTGATGGCTGAATATTTAACTGTTGTCTATCAACATATACATGAAAATGGAAATATTCACATTGGTAGGAGTAAAGCTCTGGGGTGAAGTCATTTCTGACATTAACAAGGTACAAATTAGCAGCTTTGGAATCCAGTTATATTAGTTACATAAGCCAAGCCACCAAACTAGTCTACGCATCTAATGAATTTATGACTTTAAATTTTTAACATTGCCTGGAAATTCGTCACTTACTCTTTTTTCTTTCCTTTTCTTTTCCTTTTTTCTTTTCTTTTCTTTTCTTTTCCTTGCCTTGCCTTGCCTTTCCTTTCCTTTCCTTTCCTTTCCTTTCCTTTCCTTTCCTTTCCTTTCCTTTCTCTTTTTCTTTTTCTTTTCCCTTTTCTTTTTTCTTTTCTGAGACAGAGTCTTGCTCTGTTGCCCAGTCTGGAGTGCAGTGGCACGATCTCGGCTCACTGCAACCTCCGCCTCCGGGGTTCAAGCAATTCTCTCACCTAAGCCTCTCGAGTAGCTGGGATTACAGGCATTTGCCACCACGCCTGGCTAATTTTTATACTTTTAGTAGAGACGGGGTTTCACCATGTTGGCCAGGCTGGTCTTGAACACCTGACCTCAAGTGGTCCACTTGCCTCGGCCTCCCAAAGTGCTGGGATTACAGACGTGAGCCACCGCACCATTGCTAGGGAACTAGTGAGATCATTTGGAGGTAACAAAACATTGAGACTTTTTGAATTACTGGAGTTCCTGCACTGATTCATTCTCATAGGAGGGAGATAGCTTTGTTTTTCTTTGTAAATTTGTGGTCATTTCGATGCAGCTTGATTCCATATTCTTCTTTCTCTTGAGGGCTTGACTATGGTGAATGTTGTGTATAATCAATTGGCTTATTTTCTGGGTGCTTTCAGAGGACCAAGGTTGTATATTGTTTCCTAAGCTGTAGATAGGTACCTGTAGGATTCAGATAGGTAACTGTAGGCTTCAGAGGCATTGCATAGTGGAGGGATATTTGTTTGGTAGTGTAATTCAGACTGCAGTCCAGTAGCTGGTGCTTAAGAGTAAGAGCCAGCAGATATCCTCCTAGTCACTCAACCTTTGAGGTTTTCAGTGCTTATGCAAGCAGCGCTCTAAGGAGAGGATGTGAGGGGCAAGAGATAACTCCCTCTCCAAGTCTGTTCCCAGGCCTTTGTAACATCTTTTCCATGTACTGGTGCTGTGCTCATGTTTCCTTTGCCCCAAGGAAGGGTTTGGTGGGCTGCACTCCCACCTCCCTTAGGGGCAGTCCCAGCTGAGGGTCAGGTCATCAGGAGACCTGCAAGTTCCTGAGGGCTCACTCATCCCCTATGCTTGCAAGAGTCAGAGAGAGGGTTGTTGGGTATGTCTGCTGGTGTCAGGTAGTGACCTGGGTGAGGGACAGAGTAGTGCAGTAGAGCACTTGGGTAGAGCAGTGGTATTGTGGGTATGTAATCAGGAAAGCACTCAGGGCCCAGAATTTTCAGCTTGGCAGACAACTGTGGGGTCCACCCAGGTCACGCTCCCCTGACCCAGCAGGTCACCCTCTGGCATCTGCCCCAAGAGAAGGCTATACTGGTTAGGATTATCCCAAGCCTTCTGCATCCAGATCTCTGAACCTGTCCTGTTGTTCTGGCTATGGATCTCTCTGGGGAAGAAGTTGCAGTTGCCTATCAGGCCACATCCGTCCCAGAACAGTCTTGGGAAGGGAGAAAAGCTCAACTCCTACGCTAGCGTAGAAATCCACAGCATACTGTCTCCTATGTGTTATCAATGTGGGGGCTCCCCCCATGCTCGAGTTCAGGACCCAATCTCAGCTCGATACTCTTGGGTGGTATGCTTCAATCCCAGGGAGTTGGGACTGGGACCATGGATTTGTCCTCTAGCACCTTGGGGTTGAGCAGTGGCCATGCTAGGAGGGCCAAACTGCTCCTAGGCTACCAGCAAATCACCCCGGCAGGGCAGTGGGGGTGTGCTGCGGGTACCCTCCTGCAAGAGCTGCCAGGTGGGCAGTCTTGAGAGGGGGCAGCAGGTCAGGGGACATGTGAATCAGATACCCGCACTCTTATGGCAATAGCAGTCCTGCTTTCTTCTGGTCTGGCAACCAGCAGGGACTGAAGCTGCTGAGTGCAAGATGGAGATGCTTGGGAGATGGGGGCCTATGTTTGAATTTTGCTGCGGCTGCACGGCAAGAAAACCCTTCTAGGCTCCATGCAGATTCGAGCTGTTCCTCTGCCTGATCTCTGGGTGGCTACCGCTGCCAGTTCAAAGGTCTGTGGGGGTTGTGGGAGTTCCTGTGGCTAGGACCCCAGAGATCTGCGGCAGGAATATGGTGCCCTGGAGTTCCTTCACTCATCCCTTCTCTTAGATTTGGTTTTGGGCCAGGAGCCAATCCTGGCACCCAACATCTCTGAGCAGACTTTTCAACTTCTGTTTTCATCTATGGTGTCTGTACTACCTGTCTCATTAAGTGTTTTCTCTCTAAAGATCTGTCTGAAGTGTAATGGTTTACATGAAACTTTGGTTCCTCTCAGTGCAAGAGACATTTCCTGATTGTGTCTAGTCAGCTATCTTCCGAATTTTTTTTTCTTTTTTATTCTTTTTTTTTTTTGAGACAGAGTCTTGTCTGTCTCCAGGCTGGAGTGCAGTGGCGTGATCTCGGCTCACTGCAACCTCTGACTCCCTGGTTCAAGCAATTTGCCTGCCTCAGCCTCCCGAATAGTTGGGATTACAGACACATGCACCACGCCCAGCTAATTTTTGTAATTTTTGTAGAGACGGGGTTTCACCGTGTTGGCCAAGATGGTCTCGATCTCCTGACCTCGTGATCTGCTGGCCTTCACCTCCCAAAATGCTGGGATTACAGGCATGAGCCACTGCACCTGGCCCTTCTGAAAAATGTTATGGAGAGTTTCAACAGTATATGTAATTAAACAAAAGAAAGAAGAAGTGAGTTCGAAGATAGGTCATTTGAAATTACACTATCAGAGGAATAAATAGAAAAAAGAATTAAAAATGGTAAAGAAAACCCAGAGAGCTTATGGGACACTCTCAAGAAGTCAATATATGCATTATGAGAGTTGAAGAAGAAACAGATAAAGAAAAAAGGGCAGAAAGCTTATTTAAAGAAATAACAACAGAAACGTTCCCCAAAACTGGAGAGAGACATGAACCTCTCAATCCATGAAGCCCAAAAGCATCAAATGGCTTCAACATAAAGAGGTCTTCACTGAGACACATTATAATCAAATCCTCAATAGTCACACAAAAGAATTTTGATAACAGCAAGAGAAATGTTTCTTGTAACATGCAGGAGAACCATGATAAGATTATCAGCATATTTCTCAGCAGAAAACCTGCAGGCCAGGAAACTGTGGGATGATATATTAAAAGAGCTAAAATATACATACACACAAATACCAACCAACAATACCATGCTGCATAAAGCGTCCTTCAGAAATGAAGGAGAAATGAAACTTTTTTAGACAAAAAAAGTTAATGGAGTTCACTACCACTGAACCTGTTCTATAAGAAATCTTAAAGTTATGCAGGTTGAAACAAAAGAAAGCATGAAAATATTTAAAAGTTTTAAAACTCACTGTGAAGGTAAGAATATAGTCAAATTCACAATACTCTAATACTCTAAGGGTGGTGCTTAAGAAACGTTTAACTCTAGTATAAAAGACAAAAGTGGCCAGGCACAGTGGCTCACACCTGTAATCCCAGCACTTTGGGAGGCCAAGGTGGGCGGATCACCAGGTCAAGAGATGGAGACCATCCTAGCTAACACAGTGAAACCCCGTCTCTACTAAAAATACAAAAAATTGCCAGGTGTGGTGGTGGGCGCCTGTAGTCCCAACTACTCGGGAGGCTGAGGCAGGAGAATCTAGGAGGCGGAGCTTGCAGTGAGCCGAGATTGCGCCACTGCACTCCAGCCTGGGTGACAGAGCAAGACTCCATCTCAAAAAAAAAAAAAAGAAAAAAAAAGACAAAAGTATTAAAGTAATTATAGCTATGATAATTTATTAATATTTGTGTGGCTATTCAATTCACAAAAAAATGTAAATTGCAACATCAATAATATAAAATGTGGAGGGAAAAAGTTAAAATGTAGATTTTTTTGTATGCGGTTGAAATTAAGTTGTTATCAGCTCAAAATAAACCGTTATAGCTATAATGCATTTTCTGGAAGCCTTGTGGTAATCACAAAGAAAACAAAACTCTCGTAGATATATAAAAAATAAAGAGAAAGGAATCAAAGCATAACACTACAAAGAATCAAGTCACAAAGGAAGACAGCAAGAGAAGAAAGGAATGTAAACAACAAACCAGGCAGAAAACAATGAACAAAATGACAATAGTAAGTCCCTACCTATATTGATAATTACTTTAAATGTAAATGTATTAAATTATTCAATAAAATGACCCAGAATTGCTGAATATCTAAAATTGTGAGGTCTAACTATATACTGCCTCCAAGACACTCCCTTTAGTTTTAAGAGCACACAGAGTGAAAGTGCAGGAATAGAAAAACATATTACATGCCCAAGCAAATGGTAGTCAAAAGAGATCACTAATGGCTATATGTACATCAGACAAAATAAACTTTAGGTCAAGAGCTGTCACCAGTGACAAAGAAAGTCATCATAAGAGATGATTAAGAGATCATTTCATCAAGAGGTTATAATAATTGCAAATATATATGTACCCAACATTGTAGCACCTAAATATGTGAAGCAAGCATTAGCAGAACCAAAGGAAGAAATAGACAGTAACACAATAAGAGTGGCAGAGTTCAATACCCACATTTAATAATGGATAGAACATCCATACAGAAAATCAATAAAGAAGCAACAGACTTGAACAATACCGTAGATCAAATGTACCTAAAAGATATGTACATTTTATTCCAAAGCTACAGAATACAGACTTGTTCAAGTACACAAAAAATTCTCCAGGATAGATCATATCCTAGGGCACAAAACAAGTCTTAACAATTTTAAGATTAAGATTATATAAATTATCTTTTCTGACCACAATGGTATGAAATTAGAAATCATTAATAAGAGGAATTTTAGAAAATCCACAAATGTGTGGAAATTAAACAACATACTCCTGAACGCCTGTTCTTGCATACCTCATGGGTCAAAGAATAAATTAAGAGGGAAATAAAAAATATCTTGAGATGGCCAGGCGTGGTGGCTCACGCCTGTAATCCCAGCACTTTGGGAGGCCGAGGTGGGCAGATCACAAGGTCAGGAGATCGAGACCATCCTGGCTAACACGGTGAAACCCCGTCTCTAATAAAAAATACAAAAAATTAGCCAGGCATGGTGGCGGGCGCTTGTAGTCCCAGCTACTCAGGGGGCTGAGGCAGAAGCATGGCATGAATCCGGGAGGCGGAGTTTGCAATGAGCCAAGATTGCACCACTGCACTCCAGCCTGGGTGACAGAGTGAGACTCTGTCTCAAAAAAAAAAAAAATGTCTTGAGATATACATGTGTCAGCATACTCTGACACAAACATACCAAAATTTATGGAACATAGCAAAGGCAGTTCTAAAGACAAATATATAGTAGTAAACCTCTACATTAGAAAACAAAACAAAAAAATCAAATAAATAACCTAACATAACATCTCAAGGAACTAGAAAAAGAAGAATTCAGCCAAACATAATAGAAGGAAGGAAATTATAATAAAGTTCAGAGAAATAAATAGGGACTAGAAAAACAATAGAAAATACAAATGAAATTAAGTGGTTTCATTTAATATTTTAATATTAAAATAAGATGCACAAAATCAAAAAACTTTACCTATACTAAAAGAAAAAGAAGGAAGACTCAAATGAATAAAATCAAAAATGAAAGAGGACATATCACAACTGATACTACAGAAATATAAAGGATAAGAAACTATGAACAATTACGTGCCAACAAGTTGGAAAACTTAGAAGAAATTGATACATTTCTAGAAACACATAACTTATTAAAACTGTATCCTGATGAAATAGAAAATCTGAATAAAGGCTGGGCATGTTGGCTCATGCCTGTAATCTCAGCACTTTGGGAGGCCGAGGCAGGTGGATCACAAGGTCAGGAGTTTGAGACCAGCCTGGCCAACATGGTGAAACCCCATCTCAAATAAAAATACAAAAATTAGCCGGGCATGGTGGCACGTGCCTGTAGTCCCAGCTACTCGGGAGGCTGAGGCAGGAAAATTGCTTGAACCCAGGAGGTGAAGGTTGCAGTGAGCCGAGATCACACCACTAAATTATTAAGATTTAATATTGTTTGCTGTATTGGGTTTTGAATTTGGTCAGGACCTGTTGCTCTTTTCTGCTTTTCTATTTCTCTCTTTTGGAATGGGAATGTCTACTTTATGCCTGTCTAAGCATTGTACTTTGGAAGCACATAACCTATTCGATTTCATAGGCTCACAGGGGAAGGAAAATTTGCCTCAGGATGAATTATTCCTTGAGTCTTACCCATATCTGATTTAGGTGATATTTACATGACACTTTGGACTTAGACTTTAATATTGATGCGAGATTGTGTTAAGACTATTGGGGCTATTGGAATAACATTTTTTATATGAGAAAGACATGAATTTTGGGAAGCCAGGGGAAGAATGCTATAGTCTGAATGTTGGTGTCTCTCCCAAAGTTGGAACTTAACCCCACGTTGATGGTATTAAGAGATGGGGCTTTTGGAAAATGATTAGGTCATGAAGGTTACGTCCTCATGGATGGGATTAGTGCCTTGATAAAAGGGCTTGAGAGAGTGAGTTTTTCCCTTTTACTCTGCCTGCAGTGTGAAACTCTGCCTGTGATGTGAACACACAGAGAAGGTGGCACCTATGAGAAACATACTCTCATCAGACACTGAATTTGCTGGCACTTTGATCTTGTACTTCCCAGCTTCCAGAACTGTGACAAATACATTTCTATTATTTATAAATCACCCAGTGTAAGATATTTTGTTACAACCTCTCAACAGACTGAGATATTACAATGGTCAGTATGTTGTAATCTAGGTAGTAATGGCTGTATTTCAATGGACAGGTAGTCCAAGGAAATAAAAATTCAGGGACGGTATTTGGAGATCCACATGATCACTCATCATTGCTAAAATGTAAAAGCAACTAGCTTACCTTATTCATGATTGGTCTACTACAGAAGGACCTAGAAAACACAAGATAGGATCTTAAATCCTTGGAGATCTAGCGAACTAGCACAATATTGGAAAATTCACAGAACTGTGTTCATTGCTTGAGAGAACAAATGATAGTGAACTTGCAAAAGTGTCTTTTTAAGTGTGGAAAGGGAAGATTAATAGTGTACATTGCTCTAAGACTAGAACTTCAACCAGAGACTGAAAGTTCCAGGCAGTGAGATGTGGAACTAAAACACAAAAAGAATTGTCCAGTTTTACTCCATAAAGGAAAAAGATGTGTTAAGAAATACAAACTCCTCATTAGATGATGTTTTCAAAGAGTTGTTGGAGGACAATCTGTTAAGTATGTCTAGAATATATTTTTTGCATTCAGAAGGTGGTTATACTTGTGGATCATTCAATTAGAACTCAAAAATACTGTTGTCCTTTGGTTTGGTTAATGATGTCAGTTAATAATTCAGTTCTCTGTAGGTTTGTTTCCTTTTTTCTAATCTTTATGCTAAGTTGAGAATACTTTTCTGTTTCTTAAAAAATGGAACACTTTTCTTATTAAGTGGTAGAAGTAGCATACACAATAAAAATTTAAAATAAAAATGCTCAGATAGTAGAATGAAAGGCAAATTATACACATTTTTACCAACTTCAGAACAAAAGGAGCTGAGAATAAGAGAGTGGGATTTGGTTTTGCAAAATGAAACATGCTTTTTCAAGTATTACTTGTCTATCAATATCTTTAATATATTGAGATTATATTTCGAGTGCCTGTCTTGGAGGAAACAAAATAAAGTGTGCTAAAAATTGGGTGATGATTCACAGGCTTATATGACCAAAAAGAAATCTGTGAAAGCATAGTGGAGATCACTGGGAAATAATGTTTCTTTTGCCTGTATTTTTCCCCTTTGAAATCCATGGATATGGTAAAATATTTTCTCACTTTAGTCTCAAGAGGTGGACAATGTACAAGAAAGTTTGGAGAGAAAATAAAGGTTGTGATTGCTTTAGCTAAAATGGGTGATTTTTTTTAGAAGCTTAATGTAATTTTGTAGACAGCATTAAAAAAAAGACTTATTAGACTCTGATAAACTAAGGGTTGTACTAACCCATTCCTTTTGCATCTGGTACATTCTTAAAAAACTAAAAATCCTGTATTATTATACGTGAATATTGTTTCTCATTACCTTTGTTTTTGAATGTATACAATTAATGTCTTTCAAATTTTAATTCTAGCATAAATATTACATTCAGAAAAATGAAATTAAAATCTTCTACTATTTCAAACATTTATTTTAGAGAAAAAAATCAAGAAAAATAAACTATGCTTGTTAAAAAGAGAGTATAAAATGAAAATAAAAATACATCTGTCAAGTATAATCAGAACTCTATCTAAAATGTCAAATATCCAATTACACATAACATGAAATGGTTGTCTTTTTCTTCTTTTAGCTGGTATCACTATCTTTATAGGTCTAAAAGTAATACAAATGAATACAAGTTGCCATGATCTCTATGAGGAGGAAATAAGTACACAAATAAAAATCTCTATCATTACCAGCTCTGTGAGCCAATCATCATTTAATCTTTTAGAATGGATTAGATTTACAATTTTCTGGTTATCTCATATAAGGGAAATGATGAATGCATTTTATTTTTGAAAAGCCTTCATTTTTGGATTTTCTTATTTTGGCTAGGTACAATCACTCCTACCTTTTGTTGCTATTTATTTTTCCTGAGTTGTGGTAGCTAAAATGAATATCCTTTTCTATAGCAACTGGGCAGGTACTAGGGCCTCTGCCATCTTGATAGGAACAGACAGAGTAATTATTGAGTTCCGTTTATCTTGCTGTCACCCATAAATGGTATTGTGATATTTACCACAAGTTCTATCAGGAAGAAAATTGATAGAAAGAAAAAGGTAAATGGTGAGACATTCATTTTATACCCAAACACTGAATTCTTGGGCATATTAATAAGCTTTCCACATATGACATTGGTTTGTTATTTGTGAGGGCTGAGTTTGGAGAATATTAAGCTCATATATAAGAAGATCTATATCTATATCTGTACCTACACACACACACACACACCCCTACATTTAGGTAGTTAAGAAGTATTAAATAATTGGTGGATTATTTTCAAACCATTAGTGGCCCCTTATATGTAGTGTATGTTTGCAAAGCTCCCCATTTTTTCTCATCCCCAAAGGCTCACCCTCCAAAATAATGGAAGGCGATGAGATCTTACTATAACTATCTATCTTCCTTCTATCAGGAAACATTTCATTATGGATTTATCCCTGTTATATCTGTCACCACAAGGAAACAAGTTTTATAGGTCATCCCTAATTCTCTGTACCCTTTTCCCCCAGGGTAGTGTACATCTACATTTCTGACCAGAATTCTCACCCATTTCCAAATTCTAAAGCCCTACAACACCATCTTCTGTAAACTGCAATCTGTCATTGGGAAAATCACCTATATCCCTTTATCAACTTTTCTGTATGTTCCCTGTATCTTCTTTCTCTAGCTGAAAAGTGACTCTCACCTATGAGGGCAATGCTTCCTCTGCCCAGACATTACATATAGTAGCTCTTTTCTCTTCCACAACTTTCCTCTCTCCTAAACACTTCCCAGATTTGAATTATAGGCCATCAAAAAAAATCATCTGCTACCCCTGAAACAGTTTTTCACTTGCCTTCTAAGACACAATACAGCCCTCATTTTCTTCTTACCTTTCTTCTCACAGCATTAATATATTTTGCTTATTGTTCCTCTTCTCACATCCTCTAAATGTCAAAGTATTCCAGAACTCAGCCTTTCAATATCTTATCTTCTTTTTCTACAAGCATATCTTAAGTGATTTCATCAAGCCTCATGGCTTCAAATAATCATTTATATGCGAGTAACTTTCAGATTTCTTTTTTCAGCCTGTACAAATTTCTGAAGTTTGTGATCGAATATTCAGTGGCCTACACATTATCTCTATTTGGATAGCTAATGGAAATCTTAAAATTTAACATGTTCTAAACTAACTTCCTGCTCTCCCTCTTTAAACCACCTCTTTCTATAGTCTTTTTCATTAGTAGCAACTTGATCCTTGTCTTTTCCCTCAAGTAATCTTTTAACTAATCCTGTTGACTCTGTTTGCAACATATATCCAGAATCACTGTCTCTTTTTTTTTTTTCTTTTTTGAGACACAGTCCCTCTCTGTCTCCAGGCTGGAGTGTAGTGGCACAATCTTCGCTCACTGCAACCTCTGCCTTCCGGGTTCAAGCAATTCTCCTGCCTCAGCCTCCCAAGTAGCTGGGACTACAGGCGTGTGCCACTGCGCCCAGCTAATTTTTGTATTTTTAGTAGAGACGGAGTTTCCCCATGTTGTCCAGGATTGTCTATGTCTCTTGACCTCGGGATCCGCCCACCTCAGCCTCCCAAATGCTGGGATTACAGGTGTGAGCCACCACGCCCGGCCCAGAATCATTGTCTTCTTACCACAACATATTCTACCACACTAGTCCCAGCTTTCACCTTATGACACACCTAAATCATCCCAATAGCCTCCTATCTGCTCTTCCTGCTTTCTCTGTTCTCCAAACTCTATTCTACCAACAAAGAGAAAAATTTTAACAGCTGAAGTCAAATCAGGTCTCTTCCTTGCTCCACGCTCTCCCACTACTTCCCATCTCATTCAAAGTTCATTCAAAAATTAACTCAAAATTCTTTACCATAAACCAGATACTTCATTTGATTTTCAGGACTAAACTCTGATTTTTTTCTCTTTCCCAAATTCCTATCTAAGGGGTCTGGGGAGTCAAGCCCTACAAATAATAAATTCTCATCAGATGGGTTTTATTTAATCCTATATATCATGACTTACTTTCCAATCTGACTCTGGCATAACGTTATGAGACAAGGAAGAAAATCAAAATATTTTACCCCAAAACGTGTTTCTTTGCCATATCTTGAAATGGCCCTGCAAAGTCCTTTGTGAGGGAATATTTGCATCTGTAAACAATCTCTATTAACATAGCTAGAATTTTTTTCTTCCAGGCCCACCCAATCCTAAAGAGATTAACTAAGAGTCTAGCACCTTTTAAAGATTTGAACAGGAAGCATTTGTCATCTATTGTCTCCAAGGGCAGCCACTATAAGACTTCAAAAGAACCTTGGTCTTCACAATCTTTTATCTTAACCTGAACATTTCCTTTCTGTGATCCCAGGTTTTTTGATAAACTCAACCAATTGTCAACCAGAAAATGTTTAAATTTGCCTATAGCTTGGAAGCCCCTGCTTTGAGTAGTCCCACCTTTCTGGACAAAACCAATGTATTTCTTAAATGTATTTGATTGATGTCTCATGCCTCCCTAAAATATATAAAACCAAGCTGTGCCCCCATGAGCTGGGCACATGTTCTCAGGACCTCCTGAGGGCTGTGCCACAGGCCATGGTCACTCATATTTGGCTCAGAATAAATCTCTTTGGATATTTTACAGAGTTTGACTCTTTTCTTTGACAATTTTATCTCTTACTACTCTTGTTCCTCTTATTCCATGATCTCTCCCCTGTCGAGCTGCCATAATTTACCTTGAATAATCAACCTCAGGGTTGCTGTAGTTTTTTATTTTTGTTTCATATTCCAGGAGTTCTCTTCACCTAGATAAACATAGGGCTCATTCTCTTACTTTATTTAGGTATTTGCTCAAACGTTATGTTCTTAGTAAATTATTCCTTCACCTTAAAAATCTCAATCCCTGGCCGGGCATGGGGGCTTACGCCTATAATCCCAGCACGTTAACGTTAGGAGGCCGAAGCGGGTGGATCACCTGAGGTCGGGAGTTCAAGACCAGCCTGACCAACATGGAGAAACCCCATCTCTACTAAAAAATACAAAATTAGCTGGGTGTGGTGACGCATGCCTGTAATCCCAGCTGCTTAGGAGGCTGAGGCAGTAGAATCACTTGAACCCGGGAGGTGGAGGTTGCGGTGAGCCGAGATCGCGCCATTGCACTCCAGCCTGGGCAACAAGAGTGAAACTCTGTCTCAAAAAAAAAAAAAAAAAAAAAAAATCTCAATCTCAAAGTTCATATAATTTTTATCCATTAATTTATTTTTGTCCATATCAATGATCACAATCTGACATAAAATGTATTTTAATTATTTGCTCGTTATCTTTTTTCCACTACAAAAATTTATATTCAAAGAGGTTGGGGTTTGGATAAATATCTGCTAATGCTGTATCTTTGATGCTAACACTGGAATGCATATAGTAAACATTGAATAAAAAATATTTGTTGAATGAATGAACACTGACTCATTTACCTATTTAGTCATTAGAAACTAGAGATTAATATTATTTTTCACCATAAAGTATTACTTATTTTGTAAATTTTTTGCCTACACAAATATTTATATCTATAAAGTAAAAGATTATTCCAAGATGCATGTTCATTCATCTTCATTCATTTAACCAACATTTCTTTTAGGCATTATTCCAAGTTTGGAAGACAATAGAGAGGAAAACAACACACTTCATGACATTGGGGCATAGAGTGAGACCATAATTATTCCAACACACACAAATAAATGCACAATTTTTGCAACTGTAAAAAAATGTAAAAATGAAATTTATATTAAAAATATTTTAAAATTAATTCCATTTTGTGACTATAAATGTCTAACTGGAAGTTTTACATTTTTAAATACATTTGGGTTTTTTTGTTTGTTTTGCAACTTTACTACAAGTAGTAGATAATATATTCAAAGCACAAAGCAGTGATTCTAACTAGTTAATTAGTTGGAATTTATTTCATTAATTTCACTTATTAATATATTGGATCTTGACATATATCATATAATACTTAATAATTTCCCTAAATATAATTAACTTAATTATAATACATTTCCTTTAATTTAAATATATGTGTAAATTTTATATGCATTTTATTATTGCAATGAACTAATTTCTGTTAGGAAAAAACTTTTTCATAAATCAAATGTTATACAAGAAAAACACATTCTAAAAAAATTAGAACTATCTCAAATATATTGGCTCTGGGAAGGGATGTAATAAGCTGAGCAAGTAATCAAATGGATAAAAATTTGCAGTGTTTTTGGAAACTCTACACTATTTCTAAAAGATAAAATATGCATCATCTGTGCTTATTTAATTACTGATAATCAGAGATTGAATTGTAGGGCTTTAGTGAGTATTTAGCAAAGAGGAAATTTAATTTATTTTCCTATGGGGGATAATTGTCATCATGTCTCATAATGTTGATTTTTGTTAACATATATTATGTAGTTTGACAATCGATAAGAAAAATGTTTTCTGGAAAAATAAGAACTTTTTTGAAATAAAATATTGCTATTTTTTGAATTGGAAATTATCTTTAAGAGCACAGTGTTTAGTGACATTTAATGATGTGTGCTGTGGCCTGACATAAAGCACATCAAGGTCCACGGATAATTGCCATTGCCATGAATGTTTATTAAATACTGATAACATCTAAGCATGTGTTTTACACTTTTTTTTTTTTTTTTGAGACGGAGTTTTACTCTTGTCGCCCAGGCTGGAGTGCAATGGCATGATCTCAGCTCACTGCAACCTCTGCCTTTCAGGTTCAAGCAATTCTCCTGCATCAGCCTCCTGAGTAGCTGGGATTACAGGTGCCTGCCACCACACCCACCTAATTTTTGTACTTTTAGTAGAAATGGGGTTTTGCCATGTTGGCCAGGTTTGTCTCAAACTCCTGACCTCAGGTAATCCACCCACCTCGGCCTCCCAAAGTGCTGGGATTGCAGGCATGAGCCACAGTGCCCAGTTGGGTTTTACATATTTTATAAAATTTTACTTCTTATTACATGTAATGGCCAATTTTCTCCCCAACTGAGCTCAGATTCCAGTAATATAGATTTGTAATTATTATTTACAGCATGAAGCAGTTGGATTTTCTACCTAATCAGCGAAACAGCTGATTTTATTTTAAAACATAAAGCTATAGTTCTTGTTATTCAATGATGCCTGGATGCCTGCCCTTTGGAAAAATCTCTACAGTCTGTAATTTAGACCTTGTTATACCAGTAAAGTATTTTTTTTCTGTGTGAAGGAAACAACAACAAAAAATAGAACCTACTGAAATAGCTTATAAAGGTCTGGTTTGTGAAACAAAGCTTAAGGAGTAATATAGTTTCTCTTTCTTGTTATTTAATGCAATTTGCTTATCTTCAGTAATATAGGTGCTTATTGTAACAGAGAGGACTAATATCTACCTAGGAAATTATAGGATATGACGACATTACAAGAGGTAGATTGGTAGATGTATATGTAGATGAGTAGATTGAGAGAAAAGCAAATAGATTTTATTTATTATTGGTTATTTTGCACACTAGTTGATACAATTTCTTCATAGTGTCATTGGTCTTTATATTTTGGTGTGTTTTTGCATAGGTAAATTCTGAGAGAGTGATGACCTTTTGATGAGAGATGGTTTTCCTTTAGTAATATTTGCTATAGTAAAGTTTCCTACAGTAATTTGAAACCTGATCACTACTAGTGACATCCAGCACTCCCTTCCTTTCTTACTCTTAGCTGATATTCTTCTTTTGTGCTTAACTAAGAATATAGAGAAAAATCAGAGTCAAATTGTCTGTTTATTCCCTTACATTGATCAGCCTGATTTGGTTCGGATCTTCTCTATACTAATTTAAAATTTTTACTGGATTATTTCTATCAACATACACATTCAACATTGACTTTGCCAGAACTATTATTGTGTGGGAGTCTAAGTCTCTTTGCAGGTGTCTAAGAACTTGTTTTATGAATCTGGGTACTCCTGTATTGGGTACATATATATTAAGGATAGTTAGCTCTTCTTGTTGAATTGATCCCTTCACCATTACATAATGCCCTTCTTTGTCTTTTTTGGTATTTGTTGGTTTAAAGTCTGTTTTGTCAGAGACTAGGATTGTTTTTTCTTTGCTTTCCATTTGCTTGGTAAATTTTCCTCCATCCCTTTATTTTGAGCCCATCTGCATCTTTGCACGTGAGATGGGTCTCCTGAATACAGCACACCAATGGGTCTTGACTCTTTCTCTGATTTGCCAGTCTGTGTCTTTTAATTGGGGCATTTAGCCCATTTACATTTAAGGTTAGTATTGTTATGTTATTGTGAATTTGATCCTGTCATCATGATGCTAGTTGGTTATTTTGCACACTAGTTGATGCAGTTTCTTCATAGTGTCATTGGTCTTTATATTTTGGTGTGTTTTTTGCAGTGGTTGGTACTGGTTTTTCCTTTCCACATGTAGCACTTCTTTCAGGAGCTTTTGCCAAGGCAGGACTGGTGGTGACAAAATGCCTCAGCATTTGCTTGTCTGGAAAGGATTTTATTTTTTCTTCGCTTATGAAGCTTAGTTTGGCTGGATATGAATTCTGGATTGAAAATTCTTTTCTTTAAGAATGTTCAATATTGGCCCCCAATCTCTTCTGGCTTATGGGGTTTCTGCTGAAAGGGCCACTGTTAATCTGATGGGCTTCTCTTTGTAGGTGACCTGGGCTTTCTCTCTGGCTGCCCTTAACATTTTTTCCTCCATTTTGACCTTGGAGAATCTGATGATTATGTGTTTTGGGGTTGATCTTCTCATGGAGTATCTTAGTGGTGTTCTCTGGAATTTCCTGAATTTGAATGTTGGCCTGCCTTGCTAGGTTGGCTAAGTTATCCTGGGTAATATCCTGAGGTGTGTTTTCCAGCTTGTTTCTATTCTCCTCGTCTCCTTTGGGTACTCCAATAAATTGGAGGTTCAATCTTTTTACATAGTCCTGTATTTTTTGGAGGCTTTGTTAGTTCCTTTTCATTATTTTTTCTCTAATCTTGTCTGCATGCTTATTTCAGCAAGGTGGTCTTCAAACTCTGATATCCTTTCTTCCACTTGGTCAATTCAGCTATTGATACTTGTGTATGCTTCATGAACTTCTCATGATGTGTTTTTCAGCTCCATCAGGTAATTTATGTTCCTCTCTAAACTGGGTGTTCTAGTTAGCAGCTCCTCTACCCTTTTATCAAGGTTCTTAGCTTCTTTGCATTGGGTTAGAACATGCTCCTTTAGCTCAGTGGAGTTTTTTATTACCCATTTTCTGAAGCCTACTTCTGTCAATTCATCCATCTCATCCTGTGTCCAGTTCTGCACCCTTGCTGGAGAGGCATTGCAATCATGTGGAGAAGAGGCACTCTGGCCTTTTGTGTTTTCAGTGTTTTTTCATTGATTCTTTCTCACCTTCATGAGTTTGTCTAGTTTTGATCTTTAAGGCTGTTGACCCTTGGATGGGGTTTTTGCAGGGACTTTTTGTTGTTGTTGATGCTGTTGTCATTGCTTTCTGTTTGTTTGTTTTTCTTTCAGTGGTCAGGTCCCTCTTCTGTAGGGCTGCTGAGGTTTGCTGGGGGTTCACTTCAGGCTGTAATCATCTGTTTTGCTCCTGCACCTGGAGATGTTACTCAAGGAGGCTGGAGAACAGCAAAGTTGGGTACCTGTTCCTTTTTCTGGGATCTCTGACCTCGAGGGGCACCAACCTGATGACAATAGATCACTCCTGTATAGAGTGTCTGACAACCCCTGTTGGAAGGTCTCATCCAGTTGGGTGGCACAGGGAACAGGACCCATTTAGTGAAGAACTTTGACTGTCTCTTGGTGGAGGAGGTGTGCTTTGCTAGGGGGAAACCCACTCGTTTGGGCTGCCTGGATTCCTCAGAACTACCAGGAGGAAAGGCTAAGTGTGCTGGTCCACAGAGACTATGGCCACCCCTCCACCCCCTAGGGGCTCTGGCCCAGGGAGATCAGGGTTCTGTCCCTGAGCCTCTGACTGGAGTTGCTGGAGTTCCTGCAGGGAGGCCCCACCCAGTAAGGAAGGATGAGTCAGGG
Organism: Homo sapiens; assembly: GCF_000001405.40. Classification (NCBI taxonomy): domain Eukaryota; kingdom Metazoa; phylum Chordata; class Mammalia; order Primates; family Hominidae; genus Homo; species Homo sapiens. The sequence continues at coordinate 35,531,465 of NC_000023.11, read as the reverse complement.
TCAGGTCTGAAGAGGTGCTCGGGCTGCAGTCTGCCATAGCCGGTGTGTTGGGATGTGGGGGACACCTCTTGGAACAAGGCCGTCCAGCCTCCCTGGCTCTAGCAGGGGAAAAGCATGACCTGGAGGTATAGAGATGGATGCTGCCCTTCCCTAGCCCAGGGAACTTAGCGTGTTAGGCAGTTATGAGTCCCAGTGCTGGCTGCTGCCCCTCCCTGAAGGAGCTCAAGTGGCTTAGACAGCAGGCAGCTGCAGCTGTGATGCTGGTTGCCCCTCCCTCTGGGCACTTGGCAGGCTTAAGCAGATTCTAGCTGAGAGGCTGTTGAGAATCTGCATGGCTCCTGGGTCGGGACCCTAGGCCCTGGTGGCATGGGTTCAGGAGTGGGATCTTCTGATCCGTGGGTTGCACAATTCCGTGGAAAAAGCATGGTTTCCCTGGCTGAGTAGCAGGCTCACTCACTCCTTCCCTTGGCTGGGGGGTGGGGGCTCCCCTGCCCCATGTGGCTTTCAGGTGGGCTGCTGCACCACCAAACAGTGCATTCTTAACTAACATATGGGTTGGCAAAGAAATCACAAAAGAAAATAGAAAATACTTTTAATGAATGAAAATAGAAACATAACACACCAAAATTTATGGAATTTAGCGAGGTAGTGCTCAGAGAAAAAATTATGGCTATAAAGTCCTATAGTAGAAAAAGACGAATAAGCTAAATAGAAATCTCACAGAAAGAAAGAAATAATAATGGTTAGAATAGGGATAAACAAATATAGAATGAGTAATCAGTAGAATAAACAAAAGTAGATGTTGATTCTTTGAAGATAAAATCAACAAACTATAAGTTAAATTGAGAACAAAAAGGGTAAGATTCGATTTACTAAAATCAGAAATGAAAGTGGCGATATTACTACTGACCTTACAGATAAAAAAATCTATGAGAACACTATGAATACTTGTATGTCAACAAATTAGATAATCTAGAAGAGATAGGCACACTTCTAGAAATACACAAACCACCAAAACTGACTCAAGAAGAAAAGTAAAATCTTAATCCTATAACAAGCATAGAGATGAAATCAGTAAATAAAAATCTTCCAACTAATAAAAGCCCAGGCTCAGATATGTTCACGGAGAATTTTCCCTAACATTTAAAGACCAAAGAAATAAAACCACAGACCAATACTTCCGAAGAATATAGATGCAAAAGTTCTGGGAAAAATACTAGCCAACTGAGTTCACCAACCTATTAAACAGATTAAACACCATGACAAACAGAAATTTATCTCAATAATGTAAATTGGTTTAACTATTAAAAATTAATCAATGTAATATGCCACATTAGTGGAATGAAGGTAAACAAGCAAATAACCAAAAACCCAACAACAATAATACTCATCATCACACAATCCACGATCTTGGAATAGAAAGAAACTTTCTGAACATGATAGACAATACATCTACAGCTAACATAATATTTAATGGTGAAAGTCAGAATACTTTTTTTCTAAGATTAAGAAAAAGAGGATGCCTACTTTGACACATTTATTAAACATTATACTTGAAGTTCTAGCCAGAGCGATTAGGTAAGAAAAAGAAATAAAGGGCATACGCATTGGAAACAAAGAATAAAACCTCTTTCTAGTCACAGGTGACATGTTCTCATAGAAAGAAAACCCTGGCTGGGCACGGTGGCTCACACCTGTAATCCTGGTACTTTGGGAGGCCGAGGTGGTGGATCACCTGAGGTTGGGAGTTCCAGACCAGCCTGACCAACACGGAGAAACCCCGTCTCTACTAAAAATACAAAAATTAGCCAGGTGTGCTGGCGCGTGCCTGTAATCCCAGCTACTTGGGAGGCTGAGGCAGGAAAATCGCTTGAATCCGGGAGGCAGAGGTTGCAGTGAGCTGAGATCACACCATTGCACTCCAGCCTGGGCAATAAGAGCAAAACTCCGTATCAAAAAAAAAAGAAAACCCTAAAGAGTTCACCATAAAGCTGTTACAACTAGTAAATGATTTGAGTAAGGTTGCAGGATACAGCATCAGTATATAAAAATCAGTTGTGTTTCTGTACTAACAGTGAGCTATTCAAAAAATGGACTGAAGAAAACAGTTTCATTTAGAATAGCACCAAAAATAATGCAATATTTAGGAATACATTTAATCAAAGTAGTGAAATATCTGTACACTGAAAACTATAAAGACATTGATGAAAGAAATTGAAGAAAATATAAATAAGTGAAAATATATTCCATGCTCATGGACTGTAAAAATTAATATTGTTAAAATGCCCAGGCTACCCAGTGCAATATGTAGATTCAATACAATTTCTATCAAATTTTTAATAGCTTTTTTTAACAAAAAACCCACACACCAATTCTTCTAGTGAATTCAAACTTTCATAATTACAGAATGTTTTCTTTTATTTTCAGTAATCATTTTTTTAAAGTCTAATTTGTTCTGTATGAATTTAACTATACAAACTCTCTTTTGCTTTATATTTGCAAATAATGCTTTTTTTTACCTATACATTTATTTACTTTGAACTCTTCTGTATCCATATGCTTTAGATGTGTCTCTTGTAAACAGTATATAACATTTTAAACCCCATCTGATGATTTTCACTTTAATCGGTTCATTTCATCTCTTTCTTTTAATTTCTTCATTTCCATTTCCACAGTTTGAATGAGGCATACAGACAACTTTCCTACCAAATAGTATTTCTTCAATTCCCTGAAATCTGATTTCCATACTTGGAATTAGAAAGCCTTGCATACAATATTACTGTAGATAGATTACGTGTTTAACATTCAAAATGTAATTTTGTTGCTAGCTTAATTTCTGTTGCTAAGGATTCTGTCTTAGTCTCTTTTGTGCTGCTATAACAGAATATCATAGACTGGCTGATTTATTAAAAACAGACATTTATTTCTCACATTTCTGGAGGCTTGGAAGTCCAAGATCAAGCTATCAATACTGGTAAGGGCATTCTTGCTGCGTCCTCACATGGCAGAAGGCAGAAGAACAAAAGGAAGCAAACCTACTCCTATAAGCCCTTTTTATAGTGAATATTTTGGAAAATAATAACAATCTTAAGTAAGACGTACTGCAGATGGTGAAAATTTATCTCTCCTCTTTGAACTCATTGATGGTTTAGGAACACGTCTCATTTTTGGCAAAATGTCTTTGAGTACTATATAGTATATAGAAAAGTGTCATTGTTGTTTGAAATTCCAGTCATAACAGAAAGTCAAAACTCATATATTCTGCAACTTTTAAATACCTGCCACAAATATGTTGTTTTTCAAAGTATGGCCCCATAATCATCTGATTCTGAATCTCTTAGCTTTTTTTTTTTTTTCTTTTGAGGCGGAGTCTCGCTCTGTTGCCCAGGCTGGAGTGCAGTGGCACCATCTTGGCTCACTGCAAGCTCCGCCTCTCAGGATCACACCATTCTCCTGCCTCAGCCTCCCGAGTAGCTGGGACTACAGGTGCCTGCCACCGCGCCTGGCTAATTTTTTTTGTATTTTTAGTAGAGACGGGGTTTCACCGTGGTCTTGATCTCCTGACCTCGTGATCCGCCCGCCTCGGCCTCCCAAAGTGCTGAGATTACAGGCGTGAGCCACCACGCCCAGCCATGAATCCTTTAGCTTTTAATTAAAGCTCTTGATTTAAAAAGGAAGTTTTCTGGGCCCCAGCCAGAGTGAATGAATCAGAATTTCAGGAGGCAGGCTTAATTATCTCTCTTTCTAAGAAGCTCGGTAGGTGATTTTTATACCCAGTAAAGTTTGAGAAATTCTAATACATTGTTACATAAGAAAATGCAATCAATAACTATGAATTCTGGCTTTCACAAGAGTGAAACATTTCCCCTTTCTTTTACAAGTAATCTTTGATACCCATCTTGAATCAGTCAAGGAAATGAAAAGTGATCACCGATAGCAATTTTGAGGCTTCAAATGGAGACTCGAACCTGTTACAGGGTGGAAATAATACACCAGACATCAAAGGTTTTTTTAAAAAAACTAAACTAATGGGATTTTATGTAATTTACCTTTCTGTAAAATTTGATAGACCTATGAAATTTGTGGTTTCTCATCTGTATCCAAAACCTCGGCTGTCCGTTTTGACATTTCACAGAGAAATAAGGGTAGACAATTTTTTAAATAGAGTTGATTGATATTTCTTGAGGTAAAATGGTGACAGTACAATTGCAATTTATCATGTTGTAATTTTTTTAAAGTGATTTTGATAAATTGATAATTACTAAAGGATTCTGATTTTTAGTAATGCTGCTAAATTTGTATTTCACAAATATTTGCAACATTAAATTAATTTTTATGTTTCACATATATTGTATTCCTTCCAGGAGGAAGCTAAAATTATTATTCAGATGATGAGAACAAATGATGAATTGACAATATTGATGAATTAAATACAGAGATGAAAAGGCAAACTCTAAATAAGAATATTGAAAGGAAATTATTTTATTTTGACTAAAACCAATTTATATACTCAGGAGGAAAATATATGTTATATGGGTACAGTATGTACCACTGTTGATTTGAACCTTAAAGTGATTAACACATTCAATTATAAGTATCATTAACAATAAATCATAGTTGGAGACATGCAAAGAGATTTATTTTTTGACTGGAAAATTGGTGACTACTAGGATAACATAAAATGAACATCAGAGTACAACCTTAAACATGCATGTCTGGGCAAAGTGTAGGATTTTTTTAAGCTACTATTAACCAAGTGATGATAGTGGCTAGAATTCATGAAGTGATGGACACTCTGATACACTGCCATGATTAGGAGATACTATCTTATTGCCAGAATGTAGATTACTGTTACCCTCTTTGCTTACTGAAATTTAATCAAACTCCAATGATGGTACAAAAATAAATATTTGCTCTTATGTTTAATTAAATGTAAATTATGAATTTGTATTACGTGTATGTATTTCTTCCACACATTTTTTGATCCTTTGGTAACTATTCTTTAATGCTTTCTACCATTCCTGCAGTATCATATTTCACTGAAAAAAAATTCTATCTTCAGCAGTGACAAAAAGCATTTTATATGAGTGATGTTCTCTTGATGGTATATGGTGAATTCAGAACATTTGGACAAATACTTTCTTCTAACTGGTATCTCTCAGAAGTAAATTCCTCATCAGTTTCTGAAGTCCTGTACTGAATGGTCCTTTTTGTGTTTCATCCTTCACCAATCCAATTTAGAATATAACCCATGGGTTCTGTAATATCTCTAATTAATGACAGTTTTGTTATGTGTACAAATAATAATATAAACCTTTAAATGTATGAATAAGGTGCTTTAATCTTAATTTAATCCCATTATAGTTGTATTACACTTTTTCATTTTGATAAATTCCCAGGATTTGCTTTAAAATATTTATAAAATCACTATTTGCAGGAAGTGATTACTATTGCATACTCAGTTTCTCTGTGACATAGTTAAACTACACGAATTATCAAAATACCATTAGGTGAATAAAGACTAAACTCTTTTATACTAACATTAAAACTGTTTCTAGTTTTTGTGAACTTCAAAATGTTCAATTTCTAATTAAAACTATGAGAATACACAGTGGAAAAAATCAACAATATACTAGATATATCCTATTCTTGAATTCCCAGAAGTGCCACCTCCTAAAAGCCGTCAAGGTAGGTTTATTTTAGAGTCAGAGAACATCAGAATTTTAAAGGATCTTAGAGGCCCTCTAGTTACATATCTTCTTTGCACAAATAATAAAATCGAGGTCGAAAGAACTTAAGTAGTGAAGTGAGCAGCCCTGTTGGTGGGAGTGCTAGGACTGAAACCTGGTCTCTCAACCAGTCCAATGATTTTTGCACAAAGCCGCTCCATTTCCTGTCGCCTTCTTGTTGGTGAAAGCTAGAAATCAGCAACATTGAAATAAAATTAACTATAGGCTGCTTCTATCCCACATTCTGTCAAGTACCCAGAGCCATATTAGTATTAGTGCCCCTACTTTGCTATCCATCAACACTGTCTGACTTCAAGACTTACTATAAAGCCACTGTAATAAAGAGTTATAATCATGAGAGAATAGACAAATAGATTAAATAGAACATGGTAGAGATCCCAGAAGTAGACCCTCATAAATATAGTCAATTGCTCTTAGACAAAGGAGCAAAGAAAATGCAATGGAACGAAAATAGTCTTTTTAGTGAATGGTATTGGAACACAGGGACATCCACATGCAAAAAGAAAATATATATGAATCCAGATACAGACCTTATCCTTTAAAAAATTAACCCAAATGGATCATAAATCTAAATGTAAAATACAAAGATATAAAATTACTAAATAATAGACAGGAGAAAACCTAGATGACCACAACTTGGGTATGGAGATGAGTTTTTAGACACAACACCAAAGGCACAATCCATTAAGAAAATAATTGATAAGCTGCACTTCATTAAAATTAAAACCTTCTGATATGAAAAATAAAATGTCATGAGAATGAGAAGACAAGCCATTTATTTTTGCAAAAATATTTGCAAAAAATGCATGTAATAAAGAACTGTGATTCAAAATATACAAATACATTTTGAAACTAACTGAACAATAAGAAAACACACAACCAGATTAAGAAACGGGCCAAAGATCTTAACAGACACCTCACAAAAGAAGATATAGAGATGACAAATAGGTCGGGTGTGGTAGCTCACGCCTGTAATCCCAGCACTTTGGGAGGCTGAGGTGGGCGGATCACCTGAGGTCAGGAGTTCGAGACCAGCCTGGCCAATATGGTGAAACCCTGTCTCTACTAAATATACAAAAATTAGCCCAGTGCAGTGGTGGGCACCTGTAATCCCAGCTACTCGAGAGGCTGAGGCAGGAGAATGGCTTGAACCTAGGAGGCAGAGGCTGCAGTGAGCCGAGATTGTACTACTGCACTCCAGCCTGGGTGACAGAGCGAGACTCTGTCTCCAAAAAAATAGGTGACAAATAAGCACAAGAAAAGATGCTGTACATTATATGTTATCAGTTAAATGTTTAAACAACAGTGGGATACAACTACACACATATTGGAATGGGCAAAATCTGAAACACTGACAACACCAAATGCTGGTGATAATGTGGAGCAAGAGGAGCCCCCAGTCACTGCTAGTGAGAATGCACAATTGTACAGCTACTTCGAAAGACAGTTTGGGTGTTCCTTACAAAACTAAATATATTCTTACCATACTTTCTTACCATACTATCCATCAGTTAAATTTCTTGGTAGTTATGCAAGAAAGTTTACAACTTATATCCACAGAAAAACTTGGACACAAATGTTTATAGCAGCTTTATTCATAATGGTCAGAACTTGGGGGCAATCAAGATGGCCTTCAGTAGGTGAATGGATAAAGTATCTTATATCTAGACAATGAAACATTATTCCTTGCTAAAAAGAAATGAGCTATTAAGTCATGAAAAGACATAAAGAAAAGATGTAGAGGAAGCTTAAATGAATATTAATAAGTGAGAAGAGTCAATGTGAAAAAGTTCCATACTGTGTAATTCCAGCTATATGACATTCTGATAAAGAGAAAACCATGGAAACAGTAAAAAGATCAGTAATTTCTAGGAGATGAGAGGAACATGGCTGATCTAGAGCAAAGTTTGTCCCATAAAGTGTTATTTATGAGCCTTTTTAAAAACAGATTTTTTCAATAATTTTATAATAATAGAAGAGTTTTGAAAATAATGGAGTTCACCCAGCTTTCTCTGTTAACGTCTTATGTAACGATGGTATAATGTTCAAAACCAATAAATTTATCTTGGTATAATATTATCAACTAATTTACAGAACTTACTTAGATTTCACCAGTTTTACATTAAATTTTTTAAAAATTCTGATCCATGATCCAATGCAGGATCTCATAATGCACTTATTTGTTATGGTTCTGTAGTCTACTCCAATATGTGACAGTTCTCCATTTTTTTCCTTGTTTTTCATGATCATGATACTTTTGGAGAATACTAGTCAGTCATTTTCTAGAATGTTCTTCAATTTTGGTTTGTCTGATGTATTCTAATAATCATATTGGGGTTATGCAATTATTAGAATAGGTAGGATACTACAGAGATGATGGGCCCTTCTAAATGCTTCAATATCAGAGGCACACAATGTCCATATTCATAACTGGTGATGTTTAACCTTGATCACTTGCCTAACACGGTGTCTGCCAGGACACTCCAGTATAAGCTTACTAGTTTTCCTTTGTATTTTCTAAACAGTTTTGTGGAAAAAAGGTAATTGATCCTCATCATTTACAGAGTTCATATTTGAGAATTTGCCTACTCACTAAAATTTATTTGTAAACCTAATATTAATAATTATGTCAATTTTACAGTCACTTATGGACATACACAGAACAGCAAAATATTTGTAACCTATCATTCACATTCCCAACTGAGATCAAACAAGCTGATGATCTGCCTTCTTGTTTTAGGTCTCATACTATAAACGTGTCATTATTTTCAGTCTGTCTAATGCTATGTTTTAAATATTGTGTTTTCATTGGTGATTTCACTGTTTAAAATGGCCCACAAGTTGGTGATGTGCTGTCTAGTGTCCCTAAGTTCAAGAAGGTTGTGATGTGCTTTATGGAGAAAATCATATGTTAGATAAACTTCATTTGGCTATGAGTTATAGTGCTGTTGTTTTTGAGCTCAATGTTAACAAATCAACAATATATATTAGGTAAAACATCTTTAAACAGAAATACATCAAACAGGGTTCTGTATTGATTCATTGACAAAATGTGACCAGGATCTTACAGGAATTTGACCCTGTTTTGTTCTTTGGGAACAATGGTTTAGTATTTGCTAATTCAGTGTCACTGGTGATATTACAGGACTATGATATTATTACTGTGAATAATGAGAATTGACTGAAATTTGAGACTATGCAAACATCCTATTTGTGCTAAACTCTGACTCACCTACTTTAGAGTCTGTCACTGGATAATACCTGCAACAATTATTACTATGTTGTTCCAACAGTAATTTTCTTTTCTTTTTTTTTTTTTTTTTTTTGAGACGGAGTCTCGCTCTGTTGCCCAGGCTGGAGTGCAATGGAGCGATCTCGGCTCACAGCAACCTCCGTCTCCTGTGTTCAAGCGATTCTCCTGTCTCAGCCTCCCGAGTAGCTGGGATTACAGGCATGCGCCACCACGCCTGGCTAATTTTGTATTTTTAGTAGAGACGGGGTTTATCCATGTTGACCAGGCTGGTCTCGAACTCCTGATCTCAGGTGATCCACCCACCTCGGCCTCCCAAAGTGCTGGGATTACAGGCGTGAGCCACTGCGCCCGGCCCCAACAGTAATTTTCTGTTTCTCTCATTTTAAAATTGAAATTCTTCTAAGAGAAAGAGCTGTTGCTTTTTCCCTAATTATATCTATCTATCTATCTATCTATCTATCTATCTATCTATCTATCTATATCTATCTGCCTAAACTATCTATCCATCTGCTTATCGATCTCATGCATAACTACTTTGACCTTTGAGTTATAATCCGATACAATAGTTATTTATTTTGTTGCTTCAGTCTATGGCTATTGGGAACTTTCAAGCTGGCTTCTGTGTGCTCTTTCAGTATTTAATGTGCCTCAATTTCCAACTCTCTTTTTATGCACTTTCTTAACTTCATACATCACCAGATACTCCAGACTCATCTTTCTTTTTTTTTTTTTTTTTTGCCCCAACTCTGGAATCAGTCAGCTCTTCAAGGTGCACTGGTTCTTCTTATTAGAGCATGTTTAGAGAATTTGAAATTCAGATCTGAGTGCTAGGAGTAGCTCATTGCTACTGGGGTATCACTGCGTCTCACTCTTCTGAACGAATAGATCTAAGATATGTATCTAAGAAATAAGTCCAGGATCTAAGAAATAAATCTAAGAAATGCGTGTGCACACAGATCTGAATTTATTTCTGCATCCATTTTTTTCTCCACATAAAATTTTAAAGTAAGCTTATATTGTTATATCCAGTTCCAATCCAGCAACACAAGCTTAATTACAGATTTACCCAGCCTAACTTTTAACTTCTTTCTCTGACAGAGAAAAACCTATATCTCATTATCTACAATGATCAACCTTAGTATACAAATAGTTTAGTAAGTGCTAAACCATACACTGGCAGAAAATAAATGTAACAACTAGAAGACATTGTCTGTATACAGTTATTTGTCTTTATTCTTGCAGTACCCAGACAAAACAGTTTTTCAGAAGTATTTTTCTTCCTATGCCCTTCAATTTAATTATGTGATGAATTTGTAATGCTTTTAATTTGTCCAGTCTGCATTCCATGTTTCACTGCACATGCTAGTTGATTTTTAAAAAATGTACTTTTAGTAAAATTTACATTTTCTGATCTACATTCCTTTGCATTTTGGCAAATTTATATAGCTTTATGTCCATCACTACATTTCCATAGACAACAGTTCCGTGACCCTAAAAGTCCTCCTAAGCTACACTTTTATAGGTCTGCTGGCAATGAATTCTTTCCATGCTTGTTTGCTGAGAAAGGCTTTATCTCTTTTCCATTCTGAAGAGATAAATTTGATGGATATAGAATTCTGAGTCAGTGTGTGTGTGTGTGTGTGTGTGTGTGTGTGTGTGTGTTTTCATCAGCACATAGTATTCCATTGTCTTTTTGTTTGCATGGTTACTGACAAAAGTGTGCAATGATTTTATCTTCTTCTGTGTGTGTAATGTTTCTTTTTTCTTTAGCTAACTTAAAGATTTTTTTCTTTGACTTTTCCTATAAGCAGTGTGAATATGATATTGATAATTTTTGTTTGCTTGGTTTTTATATTTTTTTTCTTTTCAGATATGTGTCTTTCATTAATTTTGGTAAAAATTTCCAGCCATCGTTTCCTTAAATATTTCTTCTGCTCCATCCTCTTTATCCTGTCTTTTAGTATTTCAAATTATGTTTAAATTAGAACATTTGATATTGTCCAAAAGATCTTGAATGTTCTGTTTTAAATTTGTAAATTTTTTTTTTTCGGGCCTCAGTTTGGATAATTTCTAGTCACATATCTTCACATTTATTGCTTCTTTTCTTGGTTAGCCAATTTATCCTGATAAGCTTGTTAAAGTCATTCTTCATTATTGTTACCAAGCTTTTTAAATGTAGCATTTCTATTTGATTTTTTGTGATACTTTTTGTATCTTTGCTAAAATTACCTGTTATTCACCTTTTCTGTTAGAACCTTTAACATATCAATCATGATTATTTTAAATTCCCTGTCAGATATTCCCAACATTTGTGTCATATTTGAATCTGGCTCTGATTATGATTTTTTTCTCAGCAGTGTGTTTTTCCTTGCCATTTCGTATTTACATTTTTCATTGGATTTCGGACATGTTTCTTAAGACAGTAGATATTGAGTTAAATATTTTTTTGTGCTTGTAGATGAACATTTTTTTTATTCTGCTTGGGCCTTGGGGGATGTTTGGCTAATCTAGCTAGATGTTTGACTGAGTTTGAGATTTATTGCTTCTACAATTACCCCCAGTATGCTACAGGCTTCAAATTCTTGTACAGACACCTCATGTCTAGGGTGCGGAGTAGTTTACCAAAGCAATGTCTCTTAAAATCTGAGTTTTAAGTTTTTGCTTTATAATGTGACATGGAAAATTTCTTTCTACATTTTTATTTCTCTCCTGTCATATCTCAGCTATATTTTCCTGTTACTTGTTATTCAAAGCTTCTTACCCTGGCAGTAGATATGGTAGTGTTGTAATGAAGAGCATCAGGTAGATGCCTTCTTAGTTATCTTGCTTCTTTCCAGGTTTTACACAGGCTCAATGAATAATCACACCCATTCTTCATTCCACTATCTTAAATGGGATTATTGTTCATCAGTTCCCTAAAACCAACAGTATTCATTGCCCTTCTCCCCACAAACATATAGGCTTTTGTCCTGTATTGGCGCTAGAGGAGAAGAATTTTAACAAGTTTCTTGCCCATCTCATATAGCTGTTGCTTTCTTCCTACAGGCCTGTGCAACAATGAATATTTCTTAGGGTTTTTTTTTTTCCTAATTTTTTCTGTGAGCCTTTGGTGAGGTTTGCAGAAAAAGAACATGCAGGAGTGCATGGACTCCTACAATGTCTGATGCCCTCAGAGATTTCACATTGTCTCACTAGGTCATACTTGGCCTTCATTAATTTGTCATCCATTTTAGCTAGACTGATATTATCACTATCTGATTGTGTCCACTCTAGGTGAATGCCTGTTTATCGCTCATCTCTCCCTGAAGTCATGAGCTGCCCTTGGATTTGAAACCAGCAACCTCAGCTCTCTGGTGGTTTAAGAAAAAGGCTAATTTTGAAATTGGTCTAGAATTTTATTTTGTTTTATTTTAGTAAGGATACTTAACACAAGACCTACCCTCTTAACAAATTAGTATGGGCTATAGGTACAATGTTGTATAGCAGATATCTAGTGCTTATCAATCTTGTTTAACCTACCTTTCTTTTGCTGTTGTAAGAGTGGAAGCAATACTCCTTTCAACTCCTAAATCCCAGGTTGGAAGCCAAAACCATTATTTATATAGTATTAATTTTAACAATTGGAGTAAAAATTCAAAACTCCAGTGGTACATTTGCTGTCACTTCTTAAACTTACTGTTAAAAATTTAACTGAGCAGAATTCTTACTGTTCAGTTACAAATATATAACGTGTAAATATTTGATAGCTACTATATGTTGTTACAGTAGGTAGCTAGTCAAACATGAACAGGGCACAACGGGTCCATCCCCTGGCACCTATACCCACTAGGAATGTCAGGCGACCATCAAGTGATGGTTAGGAGGTTGTTAAACTGCCACTCTTAAATAGTAATTGGTCATAGCCAGTGCCAGAGAAAGGCAGTCTACCAGTAGGTGGAAAAAAACTGAAGCTGGTGACCAGGAGCTTTCTGATACAATCTCAGGAGTTGGGCAAGTGGGCTCAAGCATGCACATTAAGAGGCAAAATGATGGAATTTAACTGGTGTATGACCTTCTAGGGACATTTGGTTGGTAAAGGAAGAACACCTCAAGTGAGCATGCATACAATTCCAGTAAACACAGTGCACATGTGGCCCCTCCCAAGCACTGACAGGCCACTGAGCAGCAGACAGCCCACCCCAAGGGAAGAATCAGGGGAGAAGATGCAGACCCAGGAAGCATGCCAATATAGAAAACCCCTAAGTCAAAGGTAAAACCATGCACTTGATCTCACAAGTTGCCTGCTGGCCCTTTTCCAAGTGTACTTTACTTCCTATCATTCCTGCTTTAAAGCTTTTTAATAAACTTTCACTTTTGCTCTAAAACTTGCCTCAGTCTCTCCTTCTGCCTTATGCCCCTCAGTCTAATTCTTCTTCTGGAGAGGCAAGAACTGAGGTTGCTGCAGACCCATATGGATTCACTGCCAGTAACAATGTCAGAGTGTGTGTGTGTGTGTGTGTGTGTGTGTGTGTGTGTGTTTAAAGCTAATTTATTGTGTATTTTCAATAGAGATGAAGAGTTTAAAATTTATAATACACAATAATCTGATCAAAGTTATGTAATAAAGCCTAGATATTGCCCTGTTGTAATTCTAACAGTAATGTTGCCTGAATTTTCTACAGTGTTCCTTTTCTCAAATTGAAAATAAAAAAGCAGAAATTTTCAGTCTAAAACAAAGTACATGAAAAGATAAAAATATAAATTTCTTGCATATCTGTTTTACCAGATTTCTGCATAAGATCCAGAAAGATATAAGTGATATAGACATGTTCTTTTTATCTTCTTGGCTTGGATATTGCTGGATCATTAAATTAAACATGAGTTTTCTATCTAGTGTATGTTGGATTACACTAACAAAAACAAATAGTAATGTTAATATTGTGAAATAGATCATGTTCTAGGTATTGTTATCATTTTATCAAAGAGCACAAGTATATATTACTAATTTTTATATACAAATGCCGTTAAGAACCGAATTTATGTAATTGTATTGATATGTATTATATAAGTTCTCTCTATATATATAGTGTACATATTCTATATATGCTGTATATTTATTATATACTCTGATATATATAAATTTCTGTTGGGTCGATCTCTATTATTTGCTTAGTAGCTCACAGGAGATTATATGCTTTGCCTTTTCTAATTAGATCATCTATCAATATTTTACTTTATATATTTTCATTTTCTGTATCTGTCACACAGGCTATAGTCAAACCCAAAATACTTTTTGTTGTTGTTATTCTGTGAACCATCTTTTCCTTTTGTGCATTCTTATGTGCTCTTACCCACTGAGTCAGATAATTGGAAAAGGACTTCACTGTGACAGTGAAAATACAATCAAATGTGAATCCATTGTGATGGAATGATCCTTGCATTGCCAGGACACAAATTTCTTAAGGGCTTATAGAACAAGACGAGTGACATGATGCCAATTGTAACTTTTATCACACTAATTTCCAATGTAATGCTTTAAGACAATGAAGGTAGTTATAATCAGAATAGCTTGTATGCTTTCCCAGTCATCGTAAATATCTTAATTTACATCTCACTTTCTATCTGTATTGTATATTTCACATATTTATTCTAAGCCTAGAGTGTTTGATATCAATCTGTAAATTTTAGAATTAAAAAATAAATTTATTGACTGGGCGCGGAGGCTCACGCTTGTAATCTCAGCACTCTGAGAGGCCGAGGCAGGCGGATCACAAGGTCAAGAGATCGAGACCAGCCTGGCCAACATGGTGAAACCCTGTCTTTACTAAAAATACAAAAATTAGCTGGGCATGGTGGTGCGTGCCTGTAGTCCCAGCTACTCGGGAGGCTGAGGCAGGAGAATCACTTGAACCTGGGAGGCAGAGGTTGCAGTGAGCTGAGATCAAGCCACTGAACTCCAGCCTGGCGACAGAGCAAGACTCCATCTCAAAAAAAAATGAACAAATAAATAAATTTATTTTTAATATTTTATTATACTACAAATGCACTACATATTGCAAATATACATAAATCTGAGGATGACAACCATTTTTTCAGTTTAAGTGAATACATTAATATTCATTTCACAAAAACAACATACAAAATTCCAAAAGCTGCTATCTATATTATTTCTCTTTTTCCTTAAATTCAATTTATATTTTCTGTGCATCTGACTTAATAAAAGTATAACATGGCCAGGCACCATGACTTATGCCTGTAATCCCAGAACTTTGGGAGGCTGAGGTAGAGACCTTGAGGCCAGTGGTTAGGGACCAGCCTAGGCTATATAGGGAGACCCTGTTTCTACAAAAATGAAAAATAAAAAATTAGATAAGCATGGTGGTGCACATCTGTGGTCCCAACTACTAGGGAGGCTGAGGCGGGAGGATCACTTGAGCCTGGAAGGTCAAGACTGCAGTGAGCTATGATGGAGCCATTGCACTCCAGCCTGGGCAACAAAGTGAGACCTTGTCTTAAAAAACAAAAAAAAGGGCCGGGCGCAGTGGCTCACGCCTGTAATCCCAGCACTTTGGGAGGCTGAGGCGGGCGGATCACGAGGTCAGGAGATTGAGACCATCCTGGCTAACACGGTGAAACCCCGTCTCTACTAAAAATACAAAAAGTAAGCCAGGTGTGGTGGCGGGCGCCTGTAGTCCCAGCTACTTGGGAGGCTGAGGCAGGAGAATGGCATGAACCCAGGAGGTGGAGCTTGCAGTGAGCTGAGATTGCACCACTGCACTCCAGCCTGGGAGACACAGCAAGACTCCATCTCAAAAAACAAAAACAAAAAAAAAACAAAAAAAAGTGTAACATTTAACATATTTGAGAGATATAATATTCCTATGTATTTGACTCTTAGTTAACATGGCTCCAGAATACCCTAAAGCTAGGCTCAGGAAAGATATTGATATCATGTCTTTGTATAATTACTCTCTGTACAGATAAATTATATTTTTTCCCATAAGATCACTAGGAATTTCTCATTTATCCTATATAGAAAACTATGCATATGCTACATAAGTATCCAATCTCATATTTAAACATACTTTGAGATAATTAATTTTAATTATAGTTATTTTTCAAATAAAAAAGCAGTCTATTTTGTAATTGGAAAAACAATTCAAAAACTACAATTTAAAATATTTTAGTAAATATGTTTATATACACATTGTTAAGGTGCATTTGAGTAAGTAGTTTAAGAATTATTTCAATAGAAAAATGATGTAAAACACAAAAACATAGAAAATATTTGTTACAATGTCACATTGATTTTTGCAGAATTCTTATAGAGTTTTTTATGGCCACAATGAGCAAATTCACATGTCCACAGTCACCAGTTGAATGCCATACAATTATATTCATGGAGCAGATTTCCTATGTATCGATTTAGTCTTTTTAAATGTAGTCCATATCTTTCCATTGTATTCTCTGTAGTAGTGTCTTTTTGCATATTATTTGCTAGTCATTTCTCTCATCTTTACATACTGTTTAACAGGTTAGCAATCACTCTTTTGGCAGAATGTGTGTGTGTTTATATATTTGTATATACTCATACATTTATTTTAAAATATTTGTTTGATCATTTATTTATTTATAAACACCAGAGGGAATGACAGGATATTGTATACCAAGGAAGTTTCATATTTTATGACAGTTTATTTTCGGATATATCAATTAAGATCATATACACTAACAGTCAAAGTAACCGGAAGTATTTCTCTCCAGTAATTAGGTAGAAATAAAGTAGATGTCACATCAACTAGTAAATTTTTTTGGAGTCCTGTCTCACGACTGACAGGTTGTGCACTATGTCTAAAAAGGGGTTCAGAGAATTGTAATGAAGATGCTAAGGGGTAAGAGAACCACAGTCATGAATACTTTTTAAAAATATTAAAAACTTAGTTTTCTTGAATTGCAAAGTGCTGATTGACCTTTTTTTTATTCAATGTATTATTTGAGTAGTTCTCAGCAAGTGCTCAGCTCTTACATTTGTTGTCTTTAATTGTTGTCACACTCCCAAATGACAGTAATTAAAGTTATTTATGGATTTATGAGACATAGATTGTGATTCTGTCAACAGTGAAAAGAGAAAAACCTATTATAACAACAATTTCCACTACCAGCTGACTTTAATTTCTTCCTTACTGTCTTTTTGTGATTTTTTTTAGCAATGATTGAGACCATGTGTTGCAGCCTTAATTTTAGAAACAGAATCTTAGATAAAATGCTTTTTATTTAAATAAATAGAAAATTTGAAATGAATTAGATAAAATGTCGAAATATTTTTTGTAATCAAGCATAAAGAATACATTGTATATAAATTACAGGGTTTTACTTGTAAATTTGGCAGCTAATTTTGAATCCAACATAATTTAAAATATTTTATTTTATTTTTCAAATATCCAGTTGTTTGAAAAAATACTTAAATCATATTTTTTTTCTCTCCTCTCACATCAAAATGGCAATAATCATCAACACAGAAGACTTCTATAACCCCCAAATATGTGGAGATTTTTTTCCCCACCAGCAAGCAAGAAATAATCGCAATGGACATCAACTGGGCATCCTCCAATTCAATACTGACACCATCTACCTGAAGACAGTGTCAGATTCCACAGGTTGGGGGCTCAGTCCCCAAAACTGCTCTCCTTACTTCAGACACCAGTAGCAAGTTCAGGCCTCTGGAACTTCTAACCCATTAGCTTCAAGTTGGGGTTCCCACAGCCTCCTCTGTGGGTTCAATTAATTTGCTACAGGGGCTCACACAACTTAGGGAAACACACTTACCAGTTTATCATGAAGAATATTACAAAGGATAGAGAAGAAGAGATGTGTGGGGTAAGGTATGTGGGAAGGGTGTGCAGAGCTTCCATGTCCTCCCCAGGCGTGCCACCCCCCGAGGAACCTTCACACGTTCAGCTATCCAGAAGCTTTCTGAACCCATTTTTTTGGAAGTTTTGTAACAGCAGCTTTCCTTCCCCTGGGAAGGAAATGGGGTGGAATGTTCTATGGAATGAGGGTCTTAGGACCCACAATCAGAAAGGCAAGGGAAAATGAGAGTCCTGCCTTGGGTCAGGTGAGAGGAGGGCAGGAGAAGGTCAGAACAATTGTTTCCCGAGGCCTTCCCCTTCAGGCCTAACAAACCCAACATTATAGCAAAAGACTGTAACCAGGACTATGGAATGTATCCGCCAAGAACCACAGACAAAATATCTATCTGTCTATCTATCTATCTATCTATCTATCTATCTATCTATCTATCTATCTGTAATAAGTCCATTGCCTGATGCATAGGGCAAGTCAATACACTGAGACACTGGGTGACAGCAAAGAAAGATGTTTAAAAATAGGGTCACTGATTGAGGAGACAGGAGGAAACTTCAAAACTGTCTCCTCAGTGCATCTGGGGCTAGAGTTTGTAAGGATTTTGGAGTGGGCTAAAGTGTGCAGATCATTGATTGGTTGAAGCATGCAGGGCAAAGTCTTGGGACAGGGAGATGAAGAAACTGTATTCTCATGCTGATTTTGTTTCTCTGTGGGGGTCTTCAAACCGGTTGGCATCAGCTGTTTTGCTGGAATTTGAAATCTGAAAAACATCTTAAGCAATTCTTAAATGAAAGCCTTATGATTCTAATGTCAGATATCCTGTTTGTAGGAACAATAGGCATGCGAAAGTGCTATGTGGCTCGCGATGACAAACGGGTATAAGTGCAGTCTGATTAATGTTTAATTATAACTATATTTCTGTCCAGAATTCTTCTTAACCCTGTGTGCATGGCTTAGTGTGTGTGTGTGTGTGTGTGTGTGTGTGTTTATCATAACACCACATCAGTGTTTTACTAGAAATAAATGTCACCAGCAAAAAGGAAGCACATTTTGAACAATCCATGGATTGCTCACATATGTTTTGTGCTTTTGAATATATATCAAAATATTGATTTGAGGCATTTTATCTTTTTAGGCAAGCATTTTGGTAATGAAATGTTTTGACCCTGGTAGTAAAAGAATTATTCATGTTTGTGTCAGTCATTATTTTTAGATGTATTTGATGCCTACTAGAAAGTCAGGTTTAATATCACAATTCCTGTGTTTTGTACACTACCAATTACAATGTTAATAAAAGTTAAAATGCTAACATAATGGCAAGGCAATTTCTCTCCCTCTTTTATGTGAAATGATTTTTCTGAGATCTGTATAGTTCTCAGCAAGCAATATTTGTTTTTTAGCTACAGAGAGATGCTAATAATAATGAAAAAGATTTGATTTAAACAGCTTCAGCTTTAGGATTCAAATTTTTGGACCAAATTTGTCAGAAGATGAATTTGCTAAGGACCGAAATATCCCATGAGCACAGAAAGACAAAACCATCTTGATTTGAATTTCGGATGGTGCACTTGGGCCCTCATAATTCCTCTGACATTTAGAGCCTTACAATTTCTCAAAAAGTTAATATGATGGTCTGGCAAAATGAAATCCCAATCATGCAGACTTTGCTTCTCAACTGACTTCCAGATGAACTAACATGGAATGAAGCTAATACACGTTGAAGGGGAAATTGCTATGGCAGTATTTCATTCAATTTAAGGGGTAAACAATTTATGTTTACATATTATTTAAATAGCAAGTTGATGACAAATTTAAGCATTCAATTTTTTGCAGAACAAAATATCTTCCCCAGTTTGCTTCATCCATATCTATGTTTCTATTTAACTTTAATCCCAATTTTATTAGCTTTGTTTCTGATCTAATTATTTCAGTGGTAAAAGGATATAAATGAGATATAACTGAGGGAGTTACAACAGAGTACAGTAAAATAGTTTTAATGTAATAGTGGACATTTCTATTGCTTAAATTAAAAATGCACATTTTTAACAATTCAAGAAATTATTGAAGTAATATGGATAGTTCTTCCTCTCCCAGCACAATCCATTACCACTGAGATGGTGCTACATCATAATCAATTAGGCATGTGAACTTCCATGCTTCCACTCATACTTGAGTGGTGGAAGTAGTTTTTAAAGAGAAAACCATCTAGATTCCTTGTACATATTAGTAAGGAATGCACTTGAGCTGTTTTAACAGTGACCACGTAACAATGACAAACAAGACTGGCTCATTTTTCTTTCACATGAAAACCTGTACTTGTAGGTAGTTCAAGAAGTGTAGTGCCTTTGTCCCTTTGTATTATCCGAGGACCCAGGTTCTTTACTTTTTGTTGTCCCACTATCCCCTAAGTTGCCTTCCTGTGAATGTTCAATTCCATAGTCACACCTGCAGTGGAGAGCAAGCTAGTTCCTTTTAAAGCCACGACCTGAAGTTGCACACATAATTTCTGCTTACATCCTATTGATCAGAACTCAGTCACATGGCCCACACTGCTGCAACTGAAGCTCTACCATGCCCTTTCCCCCAGATTAGAACCTATTGATATCTATGCCAATTTACTGAATGTGTACTATGTTCCAGGAATTGTTGTAAGAGATTTATGTTTTGTAATAATTAGACCGTTATCTCATTTAATCATCTCAGAAAGCCTTTGTGACAAGTAGTGTATTTAGATTTTGCACATAAGGAAGGTTATTTGTCAAGATGACCTTGCTCAGATAAAATAGCTTGAAAGTGGAAAAGATTGGTTATTGGGCCAGGCTCATCTTTTAGCAAGGATCATGTTTTTAACTTTTAACTATCCTATCATCTCTTGCACGGGCCATTGCAATGTCTTTGTAACTGCTAAGCTCCTCAATCCATCCTTCCAAGAATATGCAGGTGATCATGGCAAATACAGATGACTTTGGGTGGGCTATCAGGTAGTATAAACATAGAAACAGCATAGGTGTGAGAGTGTAGCAGCTGAGTTTTTCATATTGTAACCCGACCTAACACCTGTCCAGTTGCTTTGTCTTTTAAATATTGTAAGATCCAAACAAAATGCAAAATGTTAAAACCAAAGTAGTTGTAAAAGGACTCCTGTTTAAGGTATAGTGTCTGTCATAGAGTGGCCAATCAGTTAGCCCAAGTTGCTTCCACTTCATTTTTGCCTTTTTGGATATTCTACTCAGTTTGATTCTGTCACTTTTACTTTTTTCCATTACTTACTGAATGATTAGGTTGTAACACATTAAGTAGCCAGTTTTAAAGGCAAACATGGTCAACTACTGTTGATTATATGTGGTTTAACTTATATCCTAGGTCTCCAGCCTATAATTTAATTAATTGGGACAACTGGCTACTTCTACACATTTATCATTTGCTTTTCCAATATGGTAGATATCAGTGGGATAGGCTGTCTAGGCTACTTTGTACCCCCCACCCCCATTCTATTCTTCTAGACACTGCTACCATCAGCCACACGTTCTTATAATATTCCTTCAATTATGTGTCCCCTTGCTCACTGCTAATTTTTCCAAGTGGGTACCTGATCAGGGTTGGGCTATGAGTCCTTTCCCTCACAGCTTTTGTAGTCAGAATACAGAGACTGAATCTGTAAAATGTAAAGCTAGGGGATCTCTTAATCTCTTTTCTCTGCATGTTTTCTTCATTTTTTTTTCCCCTTACAGGCTGCTTTATCTGACTACTCATCAAGTTATAGATCTGGTGCAGTGACCATTACTCAACCCTTTCATTCACTTCATAAAATCCACACTATCTTCCAATATTGTTCAAAGTGGAGTACTGTTGCTTGCAAATAAGAGTCTTAACAGTGCATGTGGTAGAGTTTCAGGAACTATTAAATATTTCTTAAGTAAATGAATAAAAAAATATTGCCAGAATAATTCCCCTTTCACCTTCAGTAGATGAGATAAAAGTAATTATTTTTTTCTTAAATGTGGAGAATTATGAAATAAGTATTGGTCATATGCATTCAACTACATCCCATAAGTTTTTAGGAATTACACAAAAATGTTTGAGATCTCACACAAATCACATTCCTCTTATTCATCAGCTAGTTAGTAATAATTTTGCAATATAAGAATTATCTTATTATTACTAGGAAATACAATTAATTTTTGATTATGCTGTTTTTAATAGTTGCTATTTCCTTTTGTCTGAGTAAATTTTAATTTTTAATTGCAAACAAGGTAAAATTAATTACAAGGCTTAAATTTATAAATAAAATTGAAATATATTCACATGGAAAGAGTAGACTATTTTATTGCCAACTCCCTCAATTACTGTTTAAATTACTAAATTATTTGTTCAACTTAAAATTGGACAGATGGAAACTAATTCCATTTCTCTTGGAAATGTTATTATAACCTAGGTACATAATTTGCTTTAGTAAAACTAATAGAGAAAACTTTTAAAATAAAATGTTTGTTAAATTTAACCCAGTAAGCCATTCTTCCATTTATAGCAAAAACTGGTAATAGGCAAATCAGTGACAAAGAGAATATAGTGGACTAACCTCAGAATTCAAATGTGTAACACTTAGCTGCCAAATTGCAGGACTAAAGTAAATTTGTTAAGTATTTCATAATGAAACAAAATTTTAATAAGCGAACAAATGATATTGATGGTACATTGGAAATGTCCAGTCTCATTCAGATGTGAAAAGATTGTTTTGTATAATCTTGCTACACTTCATCGAAGTTTAATGGTTAAGTTTCAGTGTAAGAACTTAACCAAGATTGTGTTCAAAATTTATTTCTATTTGAAATCTATCTTGATGAACAAAAATGATTCTATGTACAAAGGACGGTATAATGAAATGTTGTATATGGGAAATATTTTAATATGTTCTCACTACTTTACTACTTGACACTCTTGTCAGGTTTTAAACTAAAGAAATTAGAAATGTTATAATAGGACTTGATTAAAGTTACTACCTGAAAAAAAAAATCACTTTCCCCTCGATGAGCAAGATCTACATGAAAGCTGCCAGTATAATTTTGAGAAATTTGAAAGGCATATTAGAAAAACAATCTCTCAAATATTTCTTGAAAATATACTTCTTAATATGACTTTAATTTTACTGTTTCATTAACTTTTATCATAAACAACATCTAATGTTGCAAATAACTAAGTGGAAGGTTTGCGGGCTTATCACCCATCATTCCCACTAAAACACTTTTTTTCTCTGCTTAGTGCTACCAAATTCAACAAGCTCATCTATTTTTTGACTAAAGACACTTCAATTTGTAAATGTTATTTTGTGTTCTCCTCAAGTTTTCGCTGCCACACAGAAGTAGATTTTATCAGCTCCCTCTTGACTTCAGCATTTTTCTGTCTGTATGGTACCTGAATATTTGAATGATTCAGCTGACCTCTCCCTTTTCTGGTCTTAAAGGCATTTGATGATAACTTGGTTCCTTTCCTTGCCCTTACTCCAAGGGTGTGACTGACTTGCCTGCACTCTATGTTAAGTCTCTCTGCCTTCCACCTATGTTTTTATGAAGGGACAAGTCTAATCACAACCCTGAGTACAACTTTATTCTTTACTATATGCAAAGGCAACCAGCTGTTTTCCCTTTGTATGTAATTCAATTATAGTTACTCAGCACATTAAAGAGTGCCCAAATGATTTGTGTTGTTCGTGCCATTTTGTACTTCCGGTTGTCTCCTAAATCCCTTGTGATGGAAATTGAAGCCCTATACTCTGTGGCTTGGACTGTGATAGGGATTAAGGAGTGATAATTAATCATACCTCATCTGAATTTAAAATCAACTGAGAAGTAGACGTAGAAATAAGGCAGATGGAAATAAAAATGTCATGTTAATTATTTCTAAAGATGAATTGGACAGTGGCCTAGACCTCTGGACAAAATGAGCTTATTGAATGCAATTTTTTCACAAATATTGAATGCATTCACCCAAGCTGGCAAGTTGTAAATTTCCTGCAGGGACAGAGAACTTACATATGCAGGAGGAAGAGAAAGTGTGAATCCTGGATTCAAGACTTTGAGAAAGAAAGAAAAGAGTGTGTTCGTCTGCTCCTCTTCTAGCTCTTCACCCAAATTCACTATCAGTTATGTTGGTTTTCTTCCTCTGGCAAATCATGAGTGAGGAGAGTGAGGAGGCAGATCGAAACTGGGATTTTTTTTTTTCCTTTCATACCGTTTCCTTCTTGTGAATAAACAGACTCCTCTACATAAACCTGATAAGGAGGAGATAAGAATCCCCACCATTCTCTTCCCATCAGCCTCCATTTGTTGCCATTATCTTCTTTCCCTCAGTCCAAAAAAAACTATCAAACCTTATTAAATAAAAATATCAAGACTCCTGTGCTCTCTCTTCACACTCACTCATCTTATACACCACTGAGGTAACAAGGATGGATCACTTTAATATCTTTATCATTCAACAACAATCTAGTGTACATTTTTGCTGCCAGATATTATGCTCAGTCCCAGAGATGCTGGAATTAACAAAACACAGACTCTGTTCAAGCTGTTCAAAGGACATCTCTCCAACATGTTTTATCTATGCCTTTGTACTATTTAAACCTGTTAATATCACCCTATTAAAATATTATTTTCTTTGTATATTGAGATTCCGTTTTGTCTCGTTGCTTGTACAACATTACGAATCATTCTCTCTAGTCAGAATTTTCCCTATACTTGCATTTCTTCTTCATAAGCAACTCTTGGTCCAGGTATTCCTTGTGCCTCTCTGGAAATTAGTTCAGTGACTTTCTCTATGAGATTTTCTTCATAGGAGTAGTTTATTGCTTAAGGTCGCATCAGATTCATTACTCTTCTCTTTTATTTTTCATGTGCTTTGTAGCTAGAGGCCATTGTTTTTTGATTAACCTGTTGTCTTTTTTGTGCCTGATTTGCTGATTTATGTGTCACACTGATTTGGTTTCACCCTAGGCCAGTCATCTTGCTGTATTTTGTTTGCATGTTGTATATAAACTCTCATGTTGGCTTTGATCTGTCACCACAAATAGTTACTGGGGAAACTGTCATTGATCTTTCTGTGACTCCACATTGGCCTGCTATCCTTGACCCTTTGCTCTGCTCCTTCTCACTTTGTTTTCTCTAATCAACTCACTCCATCAAGGCTTCTGTTCTCACTCTAGTAAGACTTCCCTTGACATGACTGCCAACTTTTTCCAGTAGGCATGATACAATAGTGAGATTTGTATTCTAAGCTTACTCAACCCATCAGCAACATTTACCACTTGACCAAGTTGAAGCACTTTCTGCTCTTGATTTTCATGACTAGCCTTATTAATTTACTATCTCACTGGCTGCTCCTTCTCTATCTCCACCACTGGCTCCTCTTCATCTTACCTCTGACCCTAGGGGCCGCCACATTCCTATTCACAGGTAATGTACTGCATACTTCCAGACCGTGATGCGAATTGTACCTCCATATACCATGTGACAGGCCTGATATCCTGGGATGTAAAGTTTGAAGTCAGAAAGCGTGGGTTCTTTCTTTCTTTCTTTCTTTTTTTAAGACAGAGTTTCGCTCTTGTTGCCCAGGCTGGAGTGCAATGGCGTGATCTTGGCTCACCACAACCTCCGCCTCCTTGGTTCAAGCTATTCTCCTACCTTAGCCTCCCAAGTAGCTGGGATTACAGGCATGTGCCAGCATGCCCAGCTAATTTTGTATTTTTAGTTGAGACGGGGTTTCTCCATGTTGGTCTCGAACTCCTAACCTCAGGTGATCTGCCCGCCTTGGCCTCCCAAAGTGCCGGGATTACAGGCATGAGCCATTGCACCCGGCCAGCTTGGGTTCTTTCATTCAGTCTCTGTGGGATCTTAAGAAAATTACTTTACCTCACTGTAAACTCAGTTTCTTCAACTGTAATATTGACATGATAATAGTATTCATTTTATAGGATATTTTTGAGGATTAAATGTGTAAATGAATGTGTAATCCTTAGAAAGTCCCCGTTTCTCAGTGAGTGTTCTATAAGTGTTAGATATTACTATTATTATAATTTAAAGCTCTAGTTGGATATTATGTGATAGTGATATACTACAGGGCCCATTTTACATCTTCAGTCACTGACAATTGATGTTTATAATTCTCTCAATGTCCTTCAGTGAGTTTTCTCAGAATTACAAAAAAAGGAAAAAAAAGATGGTGCAAAAATATAGTACCTAAATTTTAGATTCGTCTGAAACTGAATGCCAATTGCTGAAAGC
This sequence comes from Homo sapiens, assembly GCF_000001405.40. Lineage (NCBI taxonomy): Eukaryota > Metazoa > Chordata > Mammalia > Primates > Hominidae > Homo > Homo sapiens. Next base: position 35,505,345 of record NC_000023.11, on the reverse strand, counting down.
TCAGATAAAATATTTATGTTTCAGGAAGGCACTTTTTAAAAAAATCTCTGGTATTTTGTTTAAAAGAAAGCAGATAAGAAGAGCACCAGATGTATACTTGTTTTCCTCCCTCAATTTTCTTTTATTTTTTGAGACAGAGTCTCGCTCTTTCTATCGCCCAGGCTGGAGTGCAGTGGCACGATCTCGGCTCACTGCAAGTTCCACTTCCCAGGTTCACACCATTCTCCTGCCTCAGCCTCCCAAGTAGCTGGGACTACAGGCGCCCACCACCACGCCCGGCTAATTTCTTTGTATTTTTAGTAGAGACGGGGTTTTATCATGTTAGCCAGCATTGTCTTGATCTCCTGACCTCGTGATCCACCCGCCTTGGCCTCCCAAAGCGCTGGGATTACAGGCATGAGCCACTGCACCTGGCCTCCTCCTTCAATTTTCATTTTGTTACTTACTGTTCTTGCTGTTATATAAGAGTAAAATAAAGTTATTTCAAGCTAATCAAAATGTTGATCTATTAAATAATCTTATGAAAGTGAAGCAAAAACATGTAAATGAAATACCCCTTCAAAAACATGCCATTTATAAAAATAATGAGTGTGCAGATGGCATTTTTAAAATTAGATGTTTCAAGATAATAGCTTCTGGTAGTTTGTGTATCATCCTCTATTTTTCTTGAATACCTTACCAACTTTATTATATTTAAAATTTGTCTTCAGTGACTCCATTAATTTCTTATGTTTATTATGTTCTCCTGTCAATCAAATGGATATACTTTATATTAAATCAGAGAAAACTGCAGTAATTTAGAGAAAGAACATGGAAAATAATTTTCATTATACTTTGAAATTCATTTCTTTATCATTGAGACACTTTTCTTGAGTTTGCTATGAAATGTATTTATTACATATCAAAATGTATATTAATTTTGTAAATAATTTATAATTTAATGGTTTTTAATTATTTACCATATTTTATTAAACATTCTGTTTTAAAAAATTACTGATATTCTGATATATTAATTAAAACTCAATCATTGTCCTGAGGAAATTTACCAAAGTAACAGGAATTCTTGGTCAACATAGCTTTCATTGCATGACTTGTTGGCCCTGTGATCCTGAGATTAAGTTGAACAGTAAGTATGCAAGGATAAACTTTCAATGAAAGACATGCTCTTTTTGTTCAATATCATCACTTCACTGCCACACCCAAATGATCTTTATCATTATTGTTTTGTGACATTATTTTTGCTGTGATTCTTTCAATCTTTCTCATTTTAGACCAAAAAACCATTCTGCAATTTCTGAAAATTGATTAAAACATTATGTATATTTGTTAAGGGTATGTATTCAACACTGAAGTGATAAGCTCAGTGATTCTAGTTGCCATTCATGACTGTTCATATAGCTTTCAATTTACACTAGCAAGACATTTCTTGATCTTAATCTACATCTTCCCCTCACCCTTAGGCAAGCCATCACTTTGCCTGAACTACTGCAGAAGTTTCATTAACTTCTTTCCTAATCCCCTTTCAATAAATTTACCATTAAAAAAGAACATAACTTCCATTCATAAAACATTGAGTTGTCTCTGATTATTATAAGTCCCAAATCCTCACCATACCTTGAATGGTCTCACCCTTGCCTATTTTGCCCATTTTGTTTATTGGCAAGCTCTTCCCACTCCCTCCACTCCACCCACATAAATTCTTCCTCAAATGGGCCCACTTAGTTTTTACCATGAACAATTTCCACGGGCTGCTCTGGTGAGCAGAAAAAGCTTTCTCCTTCTTTACAAAATTCAGCTAAATTTTGCTCACCCTTCAGTTGCGTGTGTTGGTCTCTTCCTGTGGGATCCTTAGCAGTCAGGTTCCCAGGACCTACGCTCTCATGGCCTCCTATAGTTCTCCAAGGTAGAAGTTAGCACAGTGAAACTTTTAAAACTATTGTGGTATTGGCAGTTTATTGTCAGTTGGTTCCTCTTGATTAAAAGCTCTGTGTGGACAAGAACTGGACCTATCCCTTCAATGAAAGCCCTCAATATTTGCTGAATGAATAAAGAAATGAACATTCAAATACAAATGATAAGAAAAATGTTATGTTCTTATTTTTAGATGTTGGCCATGGAAACAAAATTATGTATTCCATATTTATCAATTTCACCATAGCTAGAAAGTTCAACTGAGGTGGAATCCACAGGTCTTAGAGGTTCATGAAAATCATCAGAGAAAGAGAGACAATTGAAAATGGGAGGTGCTTTGAGAAGGCAAGTCAGTGCTAACTATTATATACTGTAAGAAGAAAAAGCAAAACAGAGATTAATAAATATTTACATACCTGTTCAAATACAACTGAAGTTAAATATATATTGATTTCATAAAGTCGAGTGGTTTTTTAAGGATTTGCTAAAAAAGAACAGAAATTTTCTCCAATAATAAAAGGTTTGTTACAGTATTACTAAGAGCTGTTGACTTATAACTTTGAAATTAAAATGTATATTATTAGAGACTATATTTATTTAAATACTTATCTTAGAAACCTGCATTTATGCTCTTAAAGCTGTCAGCTATATTTATTGTAAAAGATTTACCAAACAAGCAGATAATAATTGTCTGACTTAGCTCTTATGAATCCATTTACTTAAAAAGACTAGTCTAGATTATCTCCAAATTAGGAACATAACAAAAAACATATTTCTTCTTGGGAATATAATTTTCCAAATAAAATATCAAGACTCTCACAGATCAGCTTTAAAACACAATGTAGAGGCTGGGCGCGGTGGCTCATGCTTGTAATCCCAGCACTTTGAGAGGCTAAGGCGGGCAGATCACGAGGTCAGGAGTTCGAGACCAGCCTGGCCAACACAGTGAAACCCCATATCTACTAAAAATACAAAAATTAGCTGGGCGTCGTGTCGGGCACCTGTAATCCCAGTTACTCGGGAGGCTGAGGCAGGAGAATCGCTTGAACCCGGGAGGCAAAGGTTGCAGTGAGCCAAGATCGCGTCACTGCACACCAGCCTGCGTGACAGAGCTAAGCTCTGTCTCAAAAAAAAAAAAAAAAACCAACCAAACAAACAAATACAATGTAGAATGTCAGTTTATCATGATTTTTCTCAAAACAGATTATGTTCCTCTCACTTAGGTTCTCATATCCAATATATTTGAGTTCCAGACAAGGGGGATACATACAGTACATAAAATATATTCACATAATTCCAATTTGTCTCAACCTCTTCTACCCAGTGGCTAATTACATCTTTATTTTGTACCAATGGATATTCTTATGATCAAAAGTATTATAGCCATACTGGAAGATCCCTACAGAAGGTTCAAAACTTCTGAAGTTAAAATTAGTTTCTCATTTTTTAAGCTTTATTTGAACAACTGCCATTTCCATAAGGCTTTAATAGTTAAGTAGAAATACATGCATATCTCAACTACATACGGTATTTGCATCTCTAAGTATAGATTAGTGTATATGATGAGGATGTTAGGCTGAAGGGGAATGGAAAGATTGAGAAAGGGGAGGAGGAAGAAAAGGAAGGAATGTTTGACTTTTTAAAATGGACGTTTTCTCAGCCAGGAGCGGTGGCTCACGCTTGTAATCCCAGCACTTTGGGAGGCCAAGGCGGGTGAATCATTTGAAGTCAGGAGTTCAAGACCAGCCTGGCCAACATGGTGAAACCCCGTCTCCACTGAAAATATAAAAATTAGCCGGACGTGGTGGCGCATGCCTGTAATCTCAGCTACTTGGGAGGCTGAGGCAGGAGAATCGCTTGGGCCTGGAAGGCGGAGGTTGCAGTGAGCCGAGAACGCACCACTGCACTCCAGTCTAGGCGACAGAGTGAGACCCTGTCTCAAAAAAAAAAAAAAAAAAAAGGAGGTTTTCTCTGTTTCAAACTATTTTTATATGGAACTGGAAGGGGAAAGTTGTCTCCTAAAACTAAGCATTTGTACAATCCATTTTGGGAGAAACAGAAAGAATCTTAAATTATTTCAAATATGATATGTATGTACATTATTGAGAAGTAAATGTAAACTTTGTATGATAGTTACCACACTACAGTTCTTGCATAAGGCAGCTTGTACTTTTATGATTTTTTTTATTTTTATTTTTTTGAGATGGAGTCTTGTTCTCTTGCCCATGCTGGAGTGCACGGTTACAGTGGTGGGATCTCGGTTCACCGCAACCTCCTCCTCCCAGGTTCAAGTGATTCTTCCCCCTGAGCCTCCCAAGTAGCTGGGATTACAGGCACATGCCGTCATGCCCAGGTAATTTTTGTACTTTTGTAGAGACGGGGTTTCACCATGTTGGCCAGGCTGGTCTCGAACTCCTGACCTCAGGTGATCCGCCGGCCTCGGCCTCCCAAAGTGCTGGGATTATAGGCGTGAGCCACCGCACCCAGCCCTTTTCTGATGTTTTATGTGTTGATTGGCTGTTTTTAATAAACACTTGAAAAAAATTTGAGCTTCATGTACAGTGATCACATGCATAAGTCTTGCAGCTCTCACAATTTTACAGTGGTGGTTCATAACCTCTTTGCCTCAAGCAGTTGTCACTTTAGGCAGCATTTGTGTTAAAGAATCCTCTAAAAGCACATTTTAGAATATTCACAGAAGAAAACTATAATATAATTACAGTTTGTGTATCTAATAAAAATATAATTACATTTTGCTGCTTTCAAAGCTCTAAATTAGATTTTCAGGGCAGAGTTACGAAAAGCTATGTAAGGGACAGCAAAAGTGTGATTGCAATTGCTTTTGTTTTGGCACTTGGACATGTTTTTTTCCTTGAAATGTTGTAAAAATTCAAATATTTAACTCACTAGATATTTGTAAGCATTTAAATTAATTGCCATCACATAGAAATCACAGTTTCTAAGTGTTACAGCTCTTAGGGCAGCACGTCTGGAGTTGTTCGTTGCTCCCGGCGGGTTCGTGGTTTCGCTGGCTTCAGGAGTAAAGCTGCAGACCTTCACGGTGAGTGTTACAGCTCATAAAGGCAGTGTGGACCCAAAGAGCAAGCAACAGCAAGATTTATTGCAAAGAGTGAAAGAACAAAGCTTCCACACTGTGGAACGGGACCAAAGCATGTTGCCAGTGCTAGCTCAGGCAGCCTGCTTTTATTCTCTTATTTGGCCCCACCCACATCCTGCTGATTGGTCCATTTTACAGAGAGCCGATTGGTCTGTTTTACAGAGAGCTGTTTGGTCCGTTTTGACAGGATGCTGATTGGTGCATTTACAATCCCTGAGCTAGACACAAAAGTTCTCTATGTCCGCACTAGATTAGCTAGATACAGAGTGTCACTTGGTGTATTTACAAACCCTGAGCTAGACACAGAGTGCTGATTGGTTCATTTACAAACCTTAAGCTAGATACAGAGTGCCAATTGGTGCATTCACAATCCTTTAGCTAGACATAAAGATTCTCCCAGTCCCCACCAGATTAACTAGATACAGAGTGCTGATTGGTGCATTCACAAACCCTGAGCTAGACACAGGGTGCTGATTGGTGTGTTTACAAACCTTGAGCTAGATACAGAGTGCTGATTGGTGTATTCACAATCCCTTAGCTATACACAAAGGGTCTCCAAGTCCCCACCAGACTCAGGAGCCCAGCTGGCTTCACCCAGTGGGTCCTGCACCGGGCCGCAGGTAGAGCTGCCTACCAGTCCCGCGCGGTGCGCCCTCACTCCTCTGTCCTTGGGCAGTGGATGGGACCGGGCGCCATGGAGCAGGGGGCGGCGCTCCTCGGGGAGGCTCGTGCCATGCAGGAGCGGGGGGAGCCGGGGGAGCGGGGGGAGCGCGGGGGGGGGGGGGGGGGCGGGGCGGGGCGGTAAGGCTCAGGCATGGCGGGCTGCAGGTCCTGATCCCTGCCCGGCGGGGAGGCAGCTAAGGCCTGGCGAGAAATCGAGCACAGCAGCTGCTGGCCCAGGTGCTAAGCCCCTCACTGCCCGGGATCGGCGGGGCTGGCCGGCAGCTCCCAGTGCGGGGCCCTCCGAGCCCACGCCCCACCGGGAACTCCCGCTGGCTCGCAAGCGCCGGGCGCAGCCCCAGTTCCCGCCCGCGCCTCTCCCTCCTCACCTCCCAGCAAGCTGAGGGAGCCGGCTCCGGCCTCGGCCAGCCCAGGAAGGGACTCCCACAGTGCAGCGGCGGGCTGAAGGGCTCCTCAAGTGCCGCCGGAGTGGGCGCCCAGGCAGAGGAGGCGCCCAGAGCGAGCGAGGACTGCGAGGACTTGCCAGCACGCTGTCACCTCTCACTTCCAGGTAATATAAAATACGTAGTATCCTCTGCCTTCTTGTTATGATGAACGTGTGGGTTATTTGTGGTTATATTTGTTATCTTTGTTGATCTGTATGACTTTTCATAGGGTTTGCAGAAATCTTGTAAACTAAGATTTAGCTAACCACCATTATCTTAGGAAAACCCAGAACACATCTTTGTGATAGAGGCAGGTGACAGACAAATCTTAGGCAGACAGGATCGGGTCCCCAGTGAAACCTCACCTTCAAACCAAAAACAGCCTGATGCCTGAAAACTGGGTTGCTGGTACCAGGTGAAGCCTGTGACCTGGAGTGAAAATTTCTATTCCTATTTGCCTGCTCTTTCCTGATTGGTTCTTTCTGAATAAGTGTTTAAATTCAAGTTAAACAATTGAATGTTGCCTTTTCCAGTGCTACTTGTGGCCCACACCACCCCAATTCTGGGTCTATAAAAGCGCTGGACTCAGCCACACTTGATGGGGGAGCTACCTAGCTTCAGGTAGGGGGCCGCCCCCTCAGTTCCCCTCTCCCCTGGAAACTGCTCTGTCGCACAATAAAACTTGCTCTGGCCGGGCGCGGTGGCTCACGCCTGTAATCCCAGCACTTTGGGAGGCCAAGGCGGGCGGATCACGAGGTCAGGAGATCAAGACCATCTTGGCTAACACGGTGAAACCCTGTCTTTACTAAAAATACAAAAAAAATTAGCCGGGCGTGGTGGTGGGCGCCTGTAGTCCCAGCTTCTCGGGAGGCTGAGGCAGGAGAATGGCGTGAACCCGGGAGGCGGAGCTTGCAGTGAGCCAAGATGGTGCCACTGCACTCCAGCCTGGGCAACAGAGCGAGACTCCGTCTGAAAAAAAAAAAAAAAAAAAAAAAAAAAGAAATGTATTGGTTTGGTTCAGAAAGACTGAAAGCAGGGACCTTCCAGGCTATAAGGAAATTTGGAAATTTAAACATTTTCTGGTTGACAATTGGTTGAGTTTATCTGAAGACCTGAGATCAATAGAAAGTAAATGTTCAAGTTAAGATAAAAGATTGTGGAGACCAAGTTTTGTTGCGGAGAGGAAGCTCTCAGATGGCAGACTTCAGGGAGAGCAGGTTGTAAAATGTTTCTTATTGGACCTAAAAGAGTGCCTGGCTCTTAGTTGATTATCTCCTGGATCTGGAAAGGAAAAAAGGAAAACAAAAGGAAAAGAGAATTTCTATAGAATGTGGATTTTTCCCACAAGGGATAGATTTGCAGGGCCATTTCAAGATATGGCAGAGAAACATGCTTTGTGGCAAAATATTTTTTCTTCCTTGTTATGCCAGAGTCAGATTGGAAAATAAGTCACGATATACAGGGTTAAATGAAACCCATCTGATGAGAAATTATGGTTTATAGGACGTGACTCCCCTGACCCCTTAGGTAGGAATTTGGGCAGGATAAAAAAAATCAGGGCTGGGCACAGTGACTCACGCCTGTAATCCCAGCACTTTGCGGGGCTGGGGCGGGCAGATCACCTGAGGTCAGGAATTTGAGACTAGCCTGGCTAACATGGTGAAACCACTTTTCTACTAAAAATACAAAAAATTAGCTGGGCATGGTGGCACACGCCTATAATCCCAGCTACTCGGGAAGCTGAGGCAGGAGAATCACTTGAACCTGGGAGGCAGAGGTTGCAGTGAGCCGAGATCACGCCATCGCACTCCAGCTTGGGCAACAGGAGCGAAACTTCGTCTAAAAAAAAACAGAGCTTATTCCTCACTTATCACATAATTTGTACTTTATAGTAAATATTTGTTCATTTCTATTTTAAATTTTTTGACTCATTTTGAATTGGAAGGATTTCTGCATGGTAAGAATTTTCTTCTGTGTTTAATATATATTTGTTATTGGGGACCATAACAAATCATTGGTCCCCAGTGATTTCTAACTACTGGTATTTGTTAAGCACATCCGTGTGAAGAGACCACCTGAGCAGGCTTAGTGTGAGCAACAAAGCTGCTTATTCACTTGGGTGCAAGTGGGCTGAGTCCAAGAAAGGAGTCAGCAGAGTGTGGTGGGAGTGGAACTGGTTTTATAGGTTTGGGGTAGGTAGTAGAAAGTTACAGTTAGGGGCAGTTTTTTCGGGCAGGAGAAGAATGTCACAAGGTGCATAGTCACAAGGTGGGGGGAGGTCACAAGGCACGATATCACAAGGTTGATTGATTAGTTAGGGTAGGGCAGGAACGTATCACAATGGTGGAATGTTGCAACGTCGGTTAATCGGTTAAGGCAGGAACTAGCTGTTTCTTCTTTAGTGGTTCTCCTGTTGCTCCAGGCTTTGTGACTCCAGGAGGCCTGTATGTGTGGGTCACAGGGGTCACAGTGGCTCAACCATGGTATAGCCCGTTCAGAGGACCTTACTGCAATAAGGAGAAATTGCAGTATTCACAGCCTGTTTAAATCCTTTCCCTCAATGTGGACTGGATCTACTGGCATGCTTTTAACAATATAATATGGCTATGGTGAAGGGATGTCACTTCTGTAGTTAAGTTACAAAAGATTGTGACTTTCTGTCTCGCTAGTAAACTCTCTTTATTGCCTTCCCAAATCTCACACTTTTATAAATCAAGCTGCCAAGTCATAGAGGCTCACGTGGCAAAGAAGTGATAGTGGTTCCAGCTAAAGCCAGTTAGGAATCCAGGCCCTCAGCTCAACAGGCCCTAAGAAACTGCATTTTTCTGACAACCATATAAATTTGCAAGTGGATCCTTTCCCAGCTGAGCCTTCAGAGGAGACCCTCATCCTATACCAACAACTTGATTTCAAGCTTGTGAGAGACCCTGAACCAGAGGACTCAGATAAGCCAGTATTCCTCATCCACAGAAAATGAGATAATAAACATTTCAGACATTAAGTTTTTAGATCATTCGTTACACAATAATAGATGACTAATACAATGTTCTTTCATTCTTTCATTTATCTTTCAGCAAAAATATATTGATTACTACTATGTACAAGGAACTGTGCTAGATATTATAAACAAAAAGCTAAATAAGATACATCCTCTCCCTTCCTCTCAATTCTCATGCATGAAGTCGAACATATAATTGACGTTCAATTATTACATATTTTAACTTAATTTCCCTCCAAATTCATAAAAATGTGAACTACAAAATGAAATCCAATTTGAATGTGAAGTTATGAAGTCTAACACTTGTGGTTAAAACATTTTTATGCCATGGCTGAAATAATATTAGTCTTCAATATGGTATTTGCACCAAAGGAAACATTGAGGTAAATCTGAGGTTCCCCCCTTTTTATTGAAAAAAAAAATACACTTTTAAAGTAAATAATTTTTCTTTTGTCTCTTTCTGTATTTGAATTGGATTACTTCTTTGATGCTGCTATAGTAAATATTTTAGACTAGATTATTTCTAGCTATTATGTTATGAGATATAGTCTGTTGAGTAAAAGAAATATCCCAAAAGGTTAGAAGTTAAGATGCCTTTAAGCAACTCTGTTCTCCCCAAGAATACTACGGTATAATGACAGAAAGAGAGAGAGAGACAGAGATTATTTTGTAGAATCTTAAAAAGTAGTAGCCTCAGGTTGTACCGTAAAACATGTGATATTGCTTGATGGTACTATCAGATACAGTGTAAGAGGGTAAATATATCTAAATTTTTCTCTTTATTGCAGCTGCATACATTACCCTCATACCACTCAATACCATAATATTTTACATCACTTTGTAGGATGTAGGTGTCCCATATTTAAATCTTTGAGAATGGCAATCTTTTAATGTTTGTCCTCAGGGAGGTTTCATCCAGTCACTCTATATTTATTTTTTGGCCAAATGACACTTAGCAGTTGCAGACCCTATATAACAAGTAACATCTGAAATAAAGTTTTATTTGTATTTTAATGCAGCATACTGGTCAAAAGCACTACAGTATCACATATACACGAAAGTACAAAATACAGTCTGTCACATAGTAATTAAGCAAAAACTTGTTCTTTGTGCTTTCAATTATTACTGTAAATTGACTATTAAGTATCCACAAATGTGGTTATGATTGCATTTTAAATGGCCATGGATATTTGTGCACAATTACTAAATGATACCTAGGTAACCATTACAGAGCAGTAAGAAATCAAACTTTAAGAGGAACAGTTATAAGCATTAACATTTTCCCATTTTATCTTTCCTTTGGTCTTCATAATATTCTGTTGTTTACATTTGGTCTTTTATTGTGTTAATTTAATGATATACCAACAATAACTAGAAGGAAAGGAGATAATATTGGTGAATATAGGCAAAGCCAATGCAAATTTATGCTCAGTCAAATTTTTGTGGACTTAGATCTTCTCGGCAAGCATATCGAGATGAGTGAAGGCTATTTGTATGCATGAAATTCATAATTTTCTGAGTTTTGTGTGATGTGATTGAAACCATCTTTGCAAATATGATAACTGGAGAAATTATGACAGTGAAAAAGATCAGACATAAATGACCTCATCTTCTAACCTCTAAGCCTTCCTGGTTTATTCCTGGGTGTAGGCCAAACTAGCCTTGGGAAGGAATTTAGTTTATAGTGTAAACTCTGAAACAAAATTGATAATAGCTCTTTCCTGTAAAAACCCCCTTCTTGCCTGGGGACCCTTTGGCCTTTGTAGGACTAACAAATTAGCTGCAAGATAAAAATTAAGTTTTAGGGGCCATGAAGCCTCTGGCTGCAAGAGTCTGAACCTCCCCAAATTGCTCCTGGGAATAACATCACTGTTACAAAACCTAAGGTCAGTGCTTGAGATATTTTGCCCCCTGTGAATTCATCTCCAACCTGACTAATCAGCAATCCCCACTTCCCAAGCCCCTACCCACCAAATTATCTTTAAAAACTCTGATCCCCAAGTTTTCGGGGAGACTGATTTGAGTAATAATAAAACTCTGGTCTCCCACACAGCCGGCTCTGTGTGAATTACTCTTGCTCCACTGCAATTCCCCTGTCTTGATAAATTGGCTCTGTCTAGGCAGTGGGCAAGGTGAACCCATTGGGTGATCACATTCTGATGTATTTTAACATTTCTATGTTATGCATATATTGACATATTTACTTCTGCCATTCCTTGTTTCAAATGCATTTGATTTGGTTCACTGGAAGAGAAACACTTAAATAACACATGCAAATATAAAAGTAATCGTTCAAAATTATGAAAACATAAAAAAAAATTATAACAAAAGCTTAGCGTAGAGTATTTATTCTTGGCTGACAATGCAGAAAAGAAAATACTATGCATTAGATATTCTCAAGGTTTGGTAAAAGAAAATGCGCCATGGCTTCAAAACAAATGTATCCTTTTGATAAATTCTAGATAATTTTTTCAATTTTAAGCATTTTGAGGTGCATTGTACTGTGCGATAACTTCCAAACCTCTAAAATGATGTGTTTCTTTTTAAATAAAAAATAGAGCAATATGATCCCCATTGCCTACTATTATATCTTAACTTGTTAGGGGTAGAAGGTATCAGAGTTACCAGCAGCAAATCCCTACAGGTCTGCATCAACCTCAATTCTTGCCTCCTCGGAAGAAAGAATTTGACCGAGGGGCATAAGGCAAAAAAAGACACCAAAGCAAGTTTCAGAGCAGGAGTGGAAGTTTATTAAAAAGCTTTAGAGCAGAAAAGAAAGGAGAGTACACTTAGAAGAGACCCAAGCGGGCAACTTGAAGGACAGATCCTAGGACTTTATATGCTGGCCCACACCTGGCATCTTGCGCGCCTTTCCCATGATTCATTCCTTTGGGTGAGCTGCCCACATGCACAGTGCTCTTCTTAGGCTTGGGAAGTGAGCATGCGTAGTGTGTTTAGGAATTGTTCACATGCCCATCTGAAGCTTTCTTCCCTTTACCAGTGGAATACCTGCGGAAGGTCATGCTCTGCCATTTTGTCTCTCAATGCACATACCCGGTCCCACTAGCCCAATACCTGAGATTTTATTGGAAGCTGATTACCAATCTCAAGTATTTTTATCTGTTTGGGAAGTTGCCTCTTTCTGGAGCCTGCTTTCAAATAACACTTTAGTGTGACAGGTGTGGACCATCAGGAGATTGTCTCTCTCTGGCACTGGCTGCCAAATTATCAATTTTAGAGAAGCAATGTGATAGCTGCTGAACCATCACCTGATGATCTCCTGATATTCCTAGTGGGTGGGGGGTGGGAGGTGGGATGAAAGCCCTTTCCCATCCCACTCATGCCTGTCTAACCAGCTGTAACAAACTCACTGAAGATATTTTGATGGGCTTGTAGAGGTCAGATAGCATTAATCAGTCTGATAATTATTCTAGGACAGGGGTTGGAAAACTTTTTCTGTAAAGAACCAAATAGACATTTTTTAGAATCATACTTTTTTGTCGTAACTACTCAACTCTGCCATGGTAACATGAAAGAAGACTTAAATTATTTATAGATGAATAGGGAAGGTTGTGTTTCTATGAAATTTTATTTACAAAAACATGTGAAGTGCCAGATTTGACTCATAGCCTGTAGATTTCTGACCATTGCTCTATAAATTTTAAAAAGTTTAAGAAATAATACATATCATTTATCTTGGGGGATATTCTGAATTACTAATTATGTTAACTTTCCCTGAAACTTTTCATCTGCTCAAGAGTGATCTATAGTAATTTCCAAACTAAAACACTAGCAAAAAATAAGTGCAAAAATGGAAGGGAATGGCCAGACGCGGTGGCTCACACCTGTAATCCCAGCACTTTGGGAAGCCGAGGGGGGTGGATCACGAGGTTAGGAGTTCAAGACCAGCCTGGCCAAAATGGTGAAACCCCGCCTCTACTAAAAATACAAAAATTAGCCAGGCTTGGTGGCGGGTGCCTGTAATCCCAGCTACTCAGGAGGCTGAAGTAGGAGAATCACTTGAACACGGGAGGCGGAGGTTGCAGTGAGCCAAGATCGTGCCACTGCATTCCAGCCTGGGTGACAGAGCGAGACTGTCTCAAAAACAACAACAACAAAAAATGGAAGGGAATGGATAAACACACTATGATATATTTGTACAATTGAGTACCACTCTCCAATAAAAATAAACTAGTGATATGTAAATCAGTATGGATGAATCTCATTTTGTGCTGAGTGAAAATATAGACACAAAATAATGCATACTGTATGATTACATTTATATAAAGTTCTAGAACAGGCCAAAGTAACCCATGGTATTAGATATAAGAAGAAAAGGCTTGTCATGGGTAGAATGATTGGGAAGTAGCATGAAAAATGTCCTTTCAGAGGATGTAAAACCCACCTCAATTTTAAGACACGAAAGAAAGAGAGGGAGAGGAGGGAAGGAAGGAAGGAGAAAGAAGGAAGAAAGAAGGAAGGAAGGAGGGAGAAGGAAGGAAGGAGAAAGAAGGAAGGAAAGAAGGAAGGAAGAAAAGGAAGGGACGAGGGAGAAAGAAGGAAGGGGAAAGAGAGAGAGAAAGAAAGAGAGAAAAAAGAGGTAGCTAAGGAAAGCATTTACTTGCAAAGCCATCCTAATCATAACAAAAGTGTTACTCTTGTTATAATTAACAAGTAATGTAATGTTGCTTGTTACGATTAATAACTGTAATAACAAATAATGTTATGATTAATGTAACTTGGGATTGATGTGAAACTCATGACTTGATTCACTGATACACAAATTATATTGCTTATATATTTCAGAAATTAGGTTTTTCGTTTACTTAAAATTTGGCTTATTTTGCTTTTGTGTACTAGAACATATATCAAAAAGAAAGCAACCTAACATATCTAGAGAATTGCTATGTGTCAAACATTGTATAATGTCCTTTACATATGTTACTTAATCTTATAGTAAATCTGTGATATAAATAACGTGAGTCAACAGAAACTTTGAGGAATTATGCAACTTGTCCAAGGGTGCGTAGATATAGGAAGTGGCAAATCTATTCAATCCAGATGTGTCTAACCTCAAATTCTAGTTCCTCACGGACTATGTAATTCGCAGTTTACCCACAGAAACTCAGAAACCACAAAGACCACAAAATGTTATTGTGATGGGGTAACCCTTTAAGTGTGGTTTAAAAGATGTGATGAGGGCCGGGCACAGTGGCTCATGCCTGTAATCCCAGCACTTTGGGAGGCCGAGACAGGTGGATCACAAGGTCAGGAGATCGAGACCATTCTGGCTAACACAGTAAAACCCCGTCTCTACTAAAAATACAAAAAATTAGCTGGGCATGGTGGTGGGCACCTGTAGTCCCAGCTACTCGGGAGGTTGAGGCAGGAGAATGATGTGAACCCGGGAGGTGGAGCTTGCAGTGAGCTGAGATCGCGCCACTGCACTCCCTGGGCGACAGAGCAAGACTCCATCTCCAGAAAAAAAAAAAAAATGTGATGAGACATCTTGGTAGAACTTAAATACCTGGATAAGCTGAGCCAGCACCTGAAACATTTTTTTAATTTTTAAATATTTAATGGACAAATGAAGATTTGTATGGTATGATGATCTCATATATGTATACAGTGTGTAATTATTATCGCACTCAAATCAACACATCCATCACTACCCATGCTATAAGTTAGATTCCCAGAACTTGTTTATCTTATAATTGAAAGTTTGTGCCCTTTAACCAACCTATTCCCATTTCCTCTACTCCCAGCCCCTGGCAACCACTTTTCTACTCTCTGTCTCCAGACGTTGGACTTTCAGATCCCACATACAAAGTCACAAAACCCAAACCGATACCCAGGTGAGAGTTCTTTTTGTGGTAATTGTCCATAACAGATCAGAAGGAGAAGACACTGTTGTTTGCATATGAGCCCAAACAGGTTGTTGCAGCTTCCCCTTGAATCCATACAGCTTTGCTATTACAGATTACTGTCCATTTCTGGGGCTCAGTGTGTCACTGGTGCGTGTGTGAATGCCCACAAAGAAATGTGAACTTAGAAAAAATGTCTCTAAAAAGCTGTTGCGGGAAGCTGTCAGCTCAGCAGCCGGTAACACCAAAGTATATTCCTTTTTTCCCTCTTCCATAACCACCAAATTTACCTAAAAAATGTTTTTCCATCTTGTATACCGGGCTATACTTTTGTCACTTTTAGCAAATTTGAGTGATGTTAATAGTGTGTCTGTGGTCACTGATGATTATAATCTAATTAAAAAATAGAAGTTCCTCAAGCAATGTTTTGAGGCTTTGCAGGTGTTCACAAAAACATACATTTTGTATGTGAAAAAATGAAACAGTTAAAATGACTATTTTACAGTTTGCCATATTGAACATAAAACCCCCAAGAATCATGCCTATTATATTAACACTGGGCTTATTTTCCAAATCATTCTTCAAATTCTTTATAAAATACTGTCTACCTATTATAGTAAAGTTGCATGGTCCATTAGATACAAGCTTCCAGTTCTTAGTAAACAAATAGAGACTAGACAAGATGTCCTGCAAAATGATTACCCCAAAAGAAAAATAACAATATAAAATGTACCATACAAATTATTTCTGTAATCTAATTCACAGCCTCTCCATTTTTTTTTTTTGAGAATTGAAAGCTTCAGTGGCTGTGTCAAAACCTCAAGGTTTACATTTTTATGTTGGATATTGACTTAACATGCTATTGTTCTCTTTGTTTTTCTGAAGAGCATGTTTTTACACATTTCTTATTTTGCTCAGTGTCTCAAGTCACAATAGAGTACATCATAGATAGGATCTGAAACTTTCCTGTGATGTTGGTCTCCATTGAGTTTAAAGCAGGTGGTGTCATTGACATAAACTGGGCTTCTTGCGGTGCCTCACACCTGTAATCCCAGCACTTTGGGAGGCTGAGGCGGGTGGATCACGAGGTCAGGAGATAGAGACCATCCTGGCTAACACAGTGCAACCCTGTATCTACTAAAAATATAAAAAATTAGCCGGGTGTGGTGGCGGACGCCTGTATTCCCAGCTACTTGGGAGGCTGAGGCAGGAGAATGGCGTGAACCCGGAAGGCGGAGCTTGCAGTGAGCCAAGATTGCGCCACTGCACTCCAGCCTGGGCGACAGACAGAGCGAGACTCCGTCTCAAAAAAAAAAAAGAAAAAAAAAAGAAAGACTGGGCTTCTTCAAGTCCTCTATTATTGATTTTAGACTGACACATTAAGGAATGTAATAATCAAATTATGTAGCCCAGTTTTCAGAATGCAATTCATGCTCAACTGTGAAACAAAATTTAAGATGGAATATCCTATTAGGTCATCTTTTGCTGCTTAAGCCAGAGCAGCATTGCTTCTCTGCTCAAACTTTAGATATTTAGTATATTCATCAAAATAAAGAAAATATAGTGTCTGCAAAGTGAAAACCAAAAAAAAGTGGGAGACAAAGGAAATAACTATATATTGATTGTGTAGAAGAATCTTTCTCTTAGTTTTCAATGGACATCCCCAGTGCATTTTACTTTTTAACGTACATTGAAAATTGTCAGTAAGATTTAAAGGTTCTAGAGTGTGAAATGCTTTAACGAAGCAGAGATGAATGGGTAATACCTTTATTCCATTTTCTATGTTACTTTCCTGCTCCTCTGCCACAACTATCTTTATTATGCTTGCAATACCATATGATACATGACAATACCACCTCAAGCCTCTCTTGTATGCACAGGTGTATTATATTTTAAATACACTTTGGTTGAATATAAATGCTACCTGTTATTTTATTTGAAATACTGACTAGAGATTAGTATTGATTACTTTAATTTTCTTCACCATGGGCTAGGAGGAATGATATATTTTTGTTTGAATAGGTCAGATTGCTCCATAAAGAGGGTTATTTGTGTCCATTCAACACAAACTGCTAAACTTTGATGGGTGGAAAAATAAGGTGGGTGGATATCTCCAGGTTAGATTTAATACATCCCACACACTAATGCTGGACAAGATGAGAGAAGTAAAGATTTGAGAGGGAAACACTTAGCTTTATTGGTTTTCTTCATTTTATAGCTGCCATAAGAATGGTTTTGGCATGACTTGCCTGTCTGTGCTTCATGATAGCTTATGATATTCCTATATTTACATAGAAATGAACTTTATAAAGGCACTGGGTACGTATAAATGCATTCTATGAGCTTACATTAAAATTAACAAGCAATGAAATACATGATTTCCTATTATACTTGAAACTTTCACCTTTGATAGTACAGGCCATCTCGAATGTTTTAATAATGTCATGAAACCATTTCTGGCAAATTAATCACATCAGAAATATTGCAAATCATTGGATTCTTATTTTAAATCTAAATTCCTTTAATGCATTCAAAGGCGTTTTTCAGGTTTAGGAAAATATTTTCAACTGGTTTCATCAATAATCAATCCTCAGAAAACATGCTGGAAACATTTTGTTCACCTTGAAATATTAGGAAAGAACAGTTGAAAATAAGTCGTGAGAAATTATGTTTTTGAAATTATATCCAATATTGAAATAATTTGCGAGTCTAGTTTTTTATATATTTCAATCACACTGCTGTCGTTTTAGCTTGGACGCTTTTCTTGTTGAGTTAACATAATCAACTCCCCATTAGTCTCTCTTACTTTCAATCCACCTTATAGAGTGCATTAAAGCTAATATCCCTAATATGTTGTTATAACCACATCACTTATTTTATTAAAAGTATTCAGTGTTTCCCAGCTGCACACAAAGAGTAGCAAGTCAATGATACATGCTGAACACAGTCCTAGTCCCCTCAGACTTTCCAGGTTACTGCCTCCTGTCTAAAACAAATCCTCTGCGTCAGTCTTATGCAAAGAGTCACTATTTCCAGAGCCTGTGCTGCACATCCATCCTTTGCAGCTGTCTTTATTTTCTTTAGGCTCCTAAAATGCCCTTCTTGCCACCTCTTTACCTATTTAAATTCTCTTTTTCAAGGGTCCCATCCTATTTTATAATACCAGCAAAATGTTATCTGACCAGTTCAAAGCCAGAGATTCCTCTCATGCCTTAAACTTGTATATCACTTATGTAAACCAAAAAGTTGTTTATTTTTAATTTAATAAAAGAAAATGGACTTTTTAAATATATGTATGTATGCATGCATGCATGTATGTGTTTACTTACTATTTGTAGTAGATTTCTGAGTTTTAAAACAGTTACAAATTCCTGTAACTACCACCACAATATGCATCCACCTGTAGCCTCTCCCCACCATTTTGTAGGTGCATATGGGCATTGGGACCCAATGCTGCCCCACTGGTATGCATGTGCTTATGGTGCCCCACCTCTGCATACCTGCCCGTGACTTCTCTGCTGCCCTGTAGATGTGCACTTACCTGCAGCTTCCCCGCCCACAACCCCTGCCACCTGTGGCCACCCCCCTATCCCCTGCCACCTTGCTTGTGTGCACTTGTCCATGGCCACCCTGCCGCAGTGCACTCTCCCGTGGACACTCTGCTGCCCTGCCAGAGCGCATTTTCAGGCAGTCCCCATCAGACTGTCATTACCAGAGACTGGAAACACCTCAGCCCCTCCAGCACGGTAGGTGCTTGACTTTGAGGGGCGGAAGAACAAAGTCATGGGGCTGGTTCAAGACCCTAAGGTTAGAGCATGCAGCCCAGGAGTACTGAGCTGAGTCTTGGTCCCCTGAAAGAATCCAGAAACAAAGCCAATCTACTAAACCTAACTTATGCTACAATTAAACCCACAAGGGCATCAAATAATGTGAAAACAAAACTCCCCATCGAAAGATCAGGAACTTGAAATATTATAAAATAGTTTTCTAATTCTGTGAAAAATGACATTGGTAGTTTGAAAAGAATAGTCTTAAATTTATAGATTGCTTAGGGCAGAATGACTATTTTAATGATATTGATTCTTCTTAAATATGAACATGGAATGTTTGCCCATTTCTTTGTGTTGTCTGTGACTTCTTTCAGCAGTGTTTTGTAGCTCTCCTTGTAGATATTTGTCATCTTCTTGGTTAGTTGTACTCCTAGGTATTTCATTTTTTTGTGGTTATTATGAATGAGATTGCATTCTTTATTTGGCTCCTAGCTTGGAAAATATTGGTATATAGATATGCTACTGGTTTTTGTACACTTATTTTGTATTCTGAAACTTTACTAAAGTTTTTTTTTTTTCTTTTTTTTTTTTTTTATCAGTTCTAGGAGCCTTTGGGCAGAGACTATGGGGTTTTCTAGGTATAGTATCATATCATCTGTGAAGAGAGATAGTTTTCCCTTTTCTCTTCTTGTTTGGATGCCTTTTATTTTTTTTTCTTTTGCCTGGCTGCTCTGTCTAGTACATCCAGCACTATATTGAATAGGAGTGGTCAAAGTGGGTATCCTTTCCTTCCTGTTCTCAAGGGGCATGCTTCCAGCTTTTGCCCACTCCATATGATGTTGGCTGTAGGTTTGTCATAGATGCTCTTATTATTTTGAGATATGTTCCTTCAATTCCTAGTTTGTTGAGAGTTTTTATCATGAAGCTATGCTGGATTTTATCAAAAGCTTTTTCTCCGTATATTGAGATGATCACATGGTTTTTGTTTTTAATTCTGTTTATGTGGTGAATCATATGTATTTATTTGTGTATGTTGAACCAGCCTTGCATCCCAGGAATAGAGCCTACTTGATTGTCATAAATTTACTTTTTAAAAATAATTTAACTTTTAACTTCAGGGATACAGGTGCATGTTTGCTATAGGTAAACTTGTGTCATGGGGGTTTGCTATACAGATTATTTTGCCCCCGAGGCATTAAGCCTAGTACCCATTAGTTATTTTGTCTCATCCTCTCTCTCCTCCCATTCACCTTCCACTTGCCAATAGGCCCCAGTGTGTGTTGTTCCCCTCTATGTGTTCATGTCTTCTCAACTTTCAGCTCCCACTTATGAGAACATGTGGTATATGGTTTTGTGTTCCTGCATTAGTTTGCTAAGAATAACAGCATCCAGTTCCATTCATGATCCTTCAAAGACACGATCACATTCTTTTTATGGCTGCATAGTATTCCGTGGTGTATATTACCACATTTTCTTTGTCCAGGCTACCATTGATGGGCATTTAGGTTGATTTGACATTGTTGCTATTGTGAATAGTGCTGCTATGAACACATACATGCATGTGTCTTTATGGTAGAACCACAATGAGATACTGTCTCCCATTAGTCAGAATGGCTATTATTAAAAAGTCAAAAAATAACAGATGCTGACAAGGTTGTGGAGAAAAAGGAGTGCTTATACACTGTTGTTGGGACTGTATATTAGTTCAGTCATTGTGGAAGCCAGTGTGGCAATTCCCCAAGGACCTAAAGACAGAAATACCATTCAATTCATCATACCCATTACTGGGTATATACCCAAAGGAATATAAATCATTCTATTATAAGGACACATGTATGCATATGTTCACTACAGCACTATTTACAACAGCAAAGACATGGAATCAATCTAAATGCCTACTAATGATAGACTGGATAAAGAAAATATGGTACATATTCATCATGGAATATTATGCAGCCATAGAAAAAGAATGAGATCATGTCCTTTGCAGGGACATGGATGGAGCTACAGACCATTATCGCTAGCAAACTAACACTGGAACAGAAAATGAAATACTACATGTTCTCACTTATAACTGGGAGCCCAATGATGAGAACATATGGACACATAGGGGGAACTACACACAATGGGGCCTACTGGAGGGTGGAGTCTGGGAGGAGGGAGAGGGTACTGACCTTTATACCTGGGTGATGAATTAATCTGCACAACAAATCCCTGTGACACACATTTACCTATGTAACAAACCTGCACATGTACCCTTGAACTTAAAATAAAAGTTTAAAAAAAAAGAAAAAAATCAATTCTGCCAATCTCCGACTTTTAGAGTTTTTAATGTATTTGCATTTATTTAAATAATAAGTTAGGATTCATGGGGCTGGGCGCCAGTGGCTCACGCCTGTAATCCTGTAATCCCAGCATTTTGGGAGGCCGAGGCGGGTGGATCACGAGGTCAGGAATTCAAGACCAGCCTGGCCAAGATGGTGAAACCCCCGTCTCTACTAAAAATACAAAAATTAGCTGGGTGTGGTGGCAGGTGCCTGTAATCCCAGCTACTCAGGAGGCTGAGGCAGGAGAATTGCTTGAACCCAGGCAGCAGAGGTTGCAGTGAGCCGAGATTGCGCCACTGCACTCCAGCCTAGGCGACAGAAATGTATCTTGACAATTTTTGTTTGATGGGCAGATTATATACAGTGTGTTATTTATTTTCTAAGGTATTTGTAGATTTTTACTCTCTTGTTAGTGTGCTTTGAGTTACAAATTTTTAAATTTTGAGACATCCAAATTACTCTTTTTCTTTTTATGTTGTGTGTGCTTTTGGTGTCATATTCAAGAAATCATTGCCAAATTCATTGTCACGAAAGTTTCCTTCTAAGGGTTTTATGGTTTTATGTCTTGTTTATGTCTTTGATCTATTTTTAGTTAATTTTTGTATATGATATAAAGTATGAATTTAACTTTACTCTTTTGCATGTGGATATCTAGTTTTTCCAAAATCATCTATAAGAAGACTGCATTTTCTTTATCTTATGGTGCTGGCATGTTTCTCGAAAATCATTTGACATGTTAGGGTTTATTTCCAGGCTGGCTCTTTATTCTATTCCATTGATCTGTGTGACTTTCTTTATGCCAATACCACTCTGTTTTGATTAATGTAATTTTGTAATTAATTTTTTAAAGTCTTATTTTGTTTTTAACTGACATGAAATAGTGTTACCTATTTATGGTGGTATAGTGTGATGTTTTGATATATGTTTGTGTAATGATAAAATTGGAATAATATTTTAAAATCGGGAAATGTGAATCCTTAAACTTCATTCTTCTTTTTCAAGAATGCTTTGGTTATTTGGGGTCCCTTATGATTCTATATGAATTTTAGGATGGGTTTTCTATTTTTGCAAGAACATTATTGGGATTTTTGATAAGGGTTACATTGAATCTGTAGATTCCTTTGTGTGGCATTTTCATCATAACAAAATTAAATCTTCCAATCTATGATAACAGAATGTGTTTTCATTTATTTGTGCCTTCTTTAATTTATTTCAGTGATATTTTCTTGTTTTCGGTGTACAAGTCTTTGCCAATCTTTTCAGTTTATATATACCCTTATTGAAATTTTATTGATTATTCAGGGCTACTTTTTTTTGAGACGGAGTTTTGTTCTTTTCACCCAGGCTGTAGTGCAATGGTGCAGTCTTGGCTAACTGCAACTTCTGCTTCCTGGGTTCAAGCGATTCTCCTGCCTCAGCCTCCCAAGTAGCTGGGATTGCAGGCGCCAGACACCATGCCCAGCTAATTTTTGTATTTTTAGTAGAGATGGGGTTTCACCGTGTCGGCCAGGCTGGTCTCGAACTCCTGGCCTCAAATGCTCCATCGCCTCAGCTTCCCAAAGTGTTGGGATTACAGGTGTGAGCCACTGTGCCCAGTAGGGCTACCATTTTAATATTTATTTTTTGTTCCCTCACGTGGGTTTGCTGTTGTTGTTATTGTTGTTGTTGTTCTTCTTCTTCTTGGTCTTGTTTTTCTTCCTCTTCTTCTCTTCCTAATTTAACTTTTCTTCCTTTTCTTCTTCTTTCTGTATTTCCAATTTTCTCCCTTTTTTTGGTATTATTTGAATATTGTAGCATGCCATTTTATTTTATCTATTGCATTTCATATATGTCCACATACATATATATATATATATATATATGTTTCTTACTGTATATTTTTTGTGGTTTCCTGGGCATGAGTTTCTTGAGATGTTACATTCTGGAATATGCATTCTTTAAAATATTTCCCCAAATTTGAAAAAATTTCAGGCATTACTTCTACAAATATGTTTTCAGAACCACTCGTTATCCCCTTCTCCTAGAATGCTAATGACACAACTCTTATACCTTTTTATGTTGTCCCACATGTTGTAAAAACTCTTTATTTTTTGTATCTTTTTTTCTCTGTTGTTCGAATTGGATGCTTGCTATTGATTTATCTTCAAGTTCACTGGCTCTTCATTCTGTCACTTATGCTCTGTTCTTGAGAAATTCCAGTGAATTTATTTTATTTTATTTTATTTTATTTTATTTTATTTTATTTTATTTTATTTTTTTGAGACGGAGTCTCGCACTGTCACCCAGGCTGGAGTGGCAGTGGCACAATCTTGGCTCACTGCAAGCTCCACCTCCCGGGTTCATTCCATTCTCCTGCCTCAGCCTCCCAAGTAGCTGGGACTACAGGTGCCCACCACCACATCAGGCTAATTTTTTGTATTTTTAGTAGAGATAGGGTTTCGCTGTGTTAGCCAGGATGGTCTCGATCTCCTGACCTCGTGATCCGCCTGCCTTGGCCTTGCAAAGTGCTGGGATTACAGGCCTGAGCCACCACTCCCAGCCCTCAAGTGAATTTATATTTCAGTTATTTTGTTTTATTTCTATTTGCATGTTGATATGTGCTGCCTTTACATTCATTTCAAGAGTGACTTATCTAACTTCTTACAATACAGTTAGAGTAGTTACTTTAAAGCCTTTTGTGAGATCAGTTTCATTTCAGTATTGGCTTCTTTTAGTTATCTTTTCCCTTGAAAATTTTTAAAATTTTTCTAATTCTTTGTATGTCAAATGATTTTGAATTTTATCCTCAGTATTTTGAATACTATGTTATATTTTGTTTTATTCCTAAAGAAAATGTTTGTTGTTGTTGTCTTTTCTGTTTCAGCAGACAATCATCTCATTTAAGAACAGACTGGGGGCCGGGTGCGGTGGCTCACGCCTGTAATCCCAGCACTTTGGGAGGCCGAGGCGGGCGGATCACGAGGTCAGGAGATCGAGACCATCCTGGCTAACACGGTGAAACCCCGTCTCGACTAAAAATACAGAAAATTAGCTGTGCGTGGTGGCAGGCGCCTGTAGTCCCAGCTACTTGGGAGGCTGAGGCAGGAGAATGGTGTGAACCCGGGAGGCGGAGCTTGCAGTGAGCCGAGATCACGCCACCGCACTCCAGCCTGGGTGACAGAGCTAGACACCGTCTCAAAAAAAAAAAAAAAAAAAAAGACTGAAATTTCTAACCTGTCTTCTGCGTACTGATCATTCTAATTTCAGTTCATTTTTAATGTGTTTGCAGTGTTCTTTCATTTTATGTGACAACTGGTGGACAGTCTACAGCCTGGCTGGTGGTCTATCCCCTAGTTCAATTTGAAAAGCTTTTGATATGATATTTATTATCAGATTGACACATGAGAAGTTTGTTAGTGAGTTCTTGAGTTCACACTCAATTTCATGCTATAGCTTTGTTGAGGTTTTTCCTTGTGCTCTTCTCCTTAATACATGCCAGATCCCAATGTCCCTCTGCTGTGGATGTCTCACTAAAAACTGGAGTTTGGTTATGTACTTCTAATGGTTTTATCTATCTCTGTTGCCAAGGAATGAGATGACAGAGACAGGGAAAAGCTACGAAGAGTCTCTTCACGATTTTTGTATTACATTTCCCCTGGAAATTCCCTTCCTGTGGAATTTAGGGCCTATTCAGTGCCCCTAATTTTATCATTGACACATCTTTTGCTGCCTTGAGATTGCCTTCCTGGGTAGAAAAGATTGGGGAAAAAAATAAAATAAAACTGGCATTTTTCCTCACTAGCTCTGACCTTTAGTGAGACTGTTGTACAGTTCTCAAGTAAGATAAATAAGAAATCTCTTGAATCTTTTCTGTTCGCAAATGGTGCTCAGTTCTGGGGTTTGAGTTATATTTGATTCCAGGCCTGGGCATAATAGAGAAAAAAAGCAAATATAGGAAACTCATCATTGAATCAGCATTACTTTGAGTTCCAGTTTCCTAAATGAACCTGCTTGCTACAATTACTTTTCAGAGTATTTCATTAGCTATTTCATCAATTTGGTACTTTTTATTGCATTTAGTTGAAGAACAGGGTTGAA
The DNA here is from genome assembly GCF_000001405.40 of Homo sapiens. NCBI lineage: Eukaryota > Metazoa > Chordata > Mammalia > Primates > Hominidae > Homo > Homo sapiens. The sequence goes on along the minus strand of NC_000023.11, from coordinate 35,480,174 downwards.
TACACATATTTCATTATATCTAAAACAAAGATTTATTTCTCTACTTTTAATATATCTGTCTTATAGCCCCAGCCAGTTAGAGATGTACTCCTTAGCAATAAACAGTATTTCTCTTTGTACTTTAATTATTATCTTTTATAGTCCGAGAGCATCTAATACTGCATTTTGTTTGAAATTCGTACAGTCATGCATAACTTAACAATGGGGATAGATGCATTATTAGGCAACCTCATCATTGTATAAACATCATAGAGTGTACTTGCACAAAACTAGATGTTATGGCCTGTTACACAGCTAGGCTATATGATATGGCCTATTGCTCCCAGGCTATAAAACTGTATAGCATGTTACTGAATTGAATAGTGTAAACAGTTGTCACACAAGGGTAAGTAGTTGTGTATCTAAACACATTTAAACATAGACAAGGTACAGTAAAAATATGACATGAAAGATAAAAATGGTACACCTGTATAAAGTGCTTATAATGAATGGAGCCTGTAAGACTAGAAGTTGCTCTAGGTGAATCAGTGAGTGAGTTGTGAGTGAATGTGAAGGTCTAGGATATTACTATATACTACTGTAGACTTTATTAACACTGTATACCTAGAAAAAGGGGATAAATTTCTGGAAACATACAATCTCCTGACATTGAACCAGGAAGAAAAAAATCCTAAACATACCAATAATAAGTAATGAAATTGAATCAGTAATAAAATATCTTCCATTCACAGCTGAATTTTACTATATATACAAAGAAGAACTGGTACCAATTTTACTGAAATTATTCCAAAAATCAAGGAGGAGGAATTCCTCCCTAATTAATTCTATAAAATCAGTGTAACTCTGGTAACAGGCAAGGACACCAACAGAAAAAGAAAACTACAGGCCAACATCTCTGATGAACGTAGATACAAAAATCCTCAACAAAATATCAGCAAATCTAATTCAATAGCACATCAAAAAGATAATTTATCACATAAAGTAGGTTTTATTCCAGGGATGCAATAGTGGTTCAACATTCACAAATCAATGAATGTGATTCACCACATAAGCAGAGTTAGAAACAAAATCCATATGACCATCTGAGGAGATGCAGAAAAAGCTTTTGATAAAATCCAACATTCATTAATGATAAAAACCTTCAACAAACTAGGCATTGAAGTAACATATCTCAAAAGAATAGAAGTCATATATGGCAAACCCACAGCCAACATCATACTTAATAGGGAAAAGTTGAGAGCATTCCCTGTAAGAACTAGCAAAAGACAAGGATGCCCACTCTCACCACTCCTGTTCAACATAGTACTGAAAGTCCTAGCCAGAGCAATCAGGCAAAAGAAAAAAGTAAGGGCATCCAAATTGAAAAATTTCGGTAAAGCAACTCTCTTTGTCCAAAGATTTATCTAATTTATGAAGGGGCCTGACAGCTTGATGCTGTCAGCCAGCTTCATTTTTGCCAGCTAAAGATCCAAGTCCTTCATTCATGAAAAGGGATCTGGGGAGAACATCACAATGCCACCACATGCATTGATTTAAACACTTCTACTTATTCCTCAGGTCTTAATCTAAATGTCATTTCTTTCTGGAAACATACTAGAAAGTGAGGAATACGTATGTTCCTCGAACAACATCACACTGTTGTTCTCTTTAATACTGCTTTGTGGTGTTATCTTTAATTTTGCAATATCTGCTATCCCCATTAGCCTGAGTTCAATAAGGGCAGCAATTATAACCATCTTGTTCAACCATTGTATCCCCAACAACCAGCAGAGCATCAAAACATAAGAGATGCTCAATAAGTATACTTAGAAAGAATGAGATTCCTCAAGCATTTTGTTTTCTACAATAAGTAGCAAATAAATTGGTGATACGTTCAGTAATTATTGAATATAAATTTGCCTTGGAGCATACTTAGACAAGAAAAGACAGCCTTGATATATTTCCTGGGTTTCTGGGGAATTCTGGCATATATAATTAATTACTACTTCTAATCGAAGATTTTATAAAACTTTTAAAAACACTTTTAAAAGAGCAGTCATGTGAAGTTATGTTGTGACAATTCTTATCCTTATTCATTGGTTAAAACTATTATATCTGTATGTATGGAATCTTTTAAAGATAAGTTGTTTATTGTAATCAAGAGGACCTTTAAATGGGTTAATCTTCTCCAAAGAAACACAGTTATGGCCATGAATGAAAACTCAGCTCCTTTACTAATTGATTAAATGTTCTGCATGACTTTTCCTAGTTTGGCCAGGTTTAAAATCTCCCCTGTGCAATTAGGAGTGCAAAAATGAGTTTCTACTTATTTGGGAGGCAATAGGTTGTATTATCCTAACTTGTCTACTCTGATCAATTTGCCTCTTGGCTAGGAAATCAATTTTCCTTCATCTAGTTCTGTATGTTGACCTGACCAACATAACATTGGAGTTTAACCAGAGCATTTGCTACTGGGAGTCTATTTTAGACGTTCTGCATTGCAAATTTCCCATGTAGGTGAAAATTAACTAAACATATCAGATAAACTCTACCTAAAATATAATATATTTAACTGATTTCATAACTTGTATGAGCCTTTAAAAATAAAATCATCCACTTTGGGAGGCCGAAGCAGTTGGATCACGAGGTCAGGAGATTGAGACCATCCCGGCTAACACGGTGAAACCCCGTCTCTACTAAAAATACAAAAAATTAGCCGGCCGTGGTGGCGGACGCCTGTAGTCCCAGCTACTCGGGAGGCTGAGGCAGGAGAATGGCATGAACCCAGGAGGCGGAGCTTGCAGTGAGCTGAGATCGTGCCACTGCACCCCAGCCTGGGTGACAGAGCAAGACTCCATCTCAAAAAAAAAATAAATAAAATCATCTTCATTTTTTCTTGGCTGTAGAAAAACCCATGGAATTCAGAGTTATTAAGCTATTAGTTTGTGTCCTTGTTAATTAATCATCCTGTAATATTATCCTGCATGTAATTTGATGAAATAAAGCAAACAAATTATTTCCATTAAAAATAACACAAGTTCCTTTCTCCATTGCCTCATTGCTTTTGACAGATACAATTAAGTAATTCAATCATCAGTTATAACAATATAATCATGAAGTCTCAAAATTCTGAATGACACCCACAAAAGAAAACTTTCAATAAAGGTCTAAAGTGGAATGTATGAGTTTTCTGCAAGAATGTTATCATGATTATTTCTGTCTAAATTGGAAAAAATATATATAATTAGTCTACTTTCTCTTTAAATCGGAGTGGAAATTCTCTCTGCAGAGACATAGACCACAGGCCCATATTTAGGATCAGAAAAAAGATAAGGAAGAACAGGGGCATGTCATATTCTACCGAACATACAATTGGATTCCGATGCCAGTATAACTCTTTCTTCCAATTTTGGGGATAATATTATCCTAATTTTTATTAACTCTACTGTATTAGTAGTAATACTATTGTTAATAGTTTACAGTTAATATGGTTAACATGCCACTTCCTGTGATAAAAGTGACAATATTAAATTAAATCTCAGCCTTCTCCCAGTAATAAATCAGAATCACAATTCTCACTTTCTTTATTCCCTCACATTTATTCATTTTTTTCTCAATCCAATTCCAAGTTGATTTCCAGATTATCTTTCTACATTCCCTAGGCCTTTAGAGAACAATAAGGCAATTACAAATTAATATTTTCAGACTTCCATTTGGCTTAATTTTGTATTGTCACTGTGCATCTTGATGTTCTTAATGTATTTATGGTAATTTGGTTATGGATACTACCAAAAAGTATATGATGTATAATTCAGTTTCTAATGTAATAAGGGCTGCTTTCTTATGCCCTAGGATTTTTTTAAAAAGATAGTAAAGGAAGGAAGTATGGCAATATATTGGTATGGAATAAACAAAATAGAAGCAACAATTCTGCTTTATACTTAATGACTGAGTTCATTAATGACTGAGTTCATTTTAATTAATATTTTTAACATATTGTTAGGCACTTGATTGAAATTAGAAGCAGTTTTTATCTTTTATTCAAGTGTTTGCAAGTGATATGGTTTAGCTCTGTGTCCCCACCCAAATCTCATGTTGAATTGTAATTCCCATTGTTGGGGGAGGGACCTGGTGGGAGGTGATTGGATCATGGGGGTGGATTTCACCCTTGATGTTCTCATGATAGTGAGTGAGGTCTCACCATATCTAGTTGTTTAAAAGTATGCGGCACTCTCTCCTTCTCTCTCTCTCTCACCGCCATGTGAAGACATGCTTGCTTCTCTTTGCCCTTTTGCCATGATTGTAAGTTTCCTGAGGCCTCCCGGCTTTCTGTACAGCCTGTGGAACTGAGAGTCAATTAAAGCTCTTTTCTTTATAAATTATCATCTCAGGTAGTTTTTGCTAGCATTGTGAGAACGAACTAATACATCAAGTGTTAATTTTTAAAACAATCTTGAAAAAATAGACCTTTTTAGCTTTCAACAAAGATTTTCCTTGAGAATGAATGCATTTGACGGGAATTCTATGATATAGAATCATATATATCAAATGAATTCAAAATATGAAATAAAATTTGACTTCTGCCTTGAACTCTGATGATCCTCTTATATTTAGTGAATTACTTAGAAATTTCAAGTAATCTGGAAACATCAACAGTACAGCTTATGTAGACTAATTTTGTTCCACTTTGGCTCAGAAAATATAATAATGCATTCATAGGTATTAGCGATACTGGTATATTTTTTGAAAGTACTCAATAGCAAATGGAATTTTTCTCATCAACTACATTTGATGTGCAGATTTAGGGTACATTTTTGTTGCATTTTAATAATTGATATTCTCTCATGAGAGTACAATCACACATTAGCCATTTTCACAATGCTAGATGCTCTGCTAGGGCTTTCGACAGTTGTGCCTGCATATAGTCTTTCTTAAATGGATATCCAAAGTAGTTTGATTTTGTACGTGGTGACTATTTTCCCACAGAGAGTGTATTACAAGAAAACCACGCAGAGGATGCATGGCATTTTCTGACCTAAACACAGAAGTTCAACAACATCACTTCAGTGACATTCTATTGGTAACAAGAGAGTCACTGTGTTGACCTGGATTTAAGAAAGGGAATATAGACCCCACCTTTTGATGGGAAAAATGTTAAAGAATGCACAGGCATGCCATGGTGCAGTAGGCTTACTTAATTAAGTATTTTCAGCCTCTTCTAAGTCAATAAACTCTCTTGAGAGTCCTCTGGGGTATTGCCACAAGCTGAAAGTCTTTGAGTGGCATGGAAGATCCTGGTGTGTAACAAAACCAAGCTACAGAAGGGGATGAATTTGCTTTCTCTTCATTTTAATTTACTAGAGCAATTGTAAACTAATTGCTGCCCTATGTAAATTCTGTTTTTAAATTTATTTTGGATAATCCAATGATGTTAATAAGCTACTGAATATATCCAACTTACTTACCAGTCCCTGGGAGGCTGTACCTAAGTTGATATTAGAAATCTTATGTCATTCTGAAGATTTAGAAAACTAGTAGAGACTATACGAAAAAGAAACAAGATGGCATGGGAAAACACACAGGCTTACCATCTTTGGAATTTGACCAACTTCCCCATGAACCAATTCAGTATCTCCCTTTTCCTCAGGGATCAAAAGCAAAATGAGTTTTGATGAGGAATGACTCTCATGCCCTGATAGCTACACATTTTTCTCATTTCCTAGGGATACAAGAAGGGGAAAAGAGGAGAAAATGCATGAAAAGTCATGTGATGGTGTCTATTTTGTTTCCTAAATTAAATGATCTCTAAAGCATCAGGGTCCTCAAGAGGAGGAAAATTAAATGATCTCTAAAGCATCAGGGTCCTCAAGAGGAGGACAGATCGGAGGCTGAGGAAGCCTATTTTATGGAATACATTTCACTTTTATATATTTTCAGTATGAAAAAGACCAAAGTTTGTCAAGGGATAATTTTAGGCATGATGTGGGCTACAAGTGTTCTGAAGACTTAGCATTAAACACATAAGAGAATTATTAAATCAGCTATTTATTTATTTATTTATTTATTTATTTATTTATTTATTTGAGACGGAGTCTCACACTGTCGCCTGGGCTGGAGTGCAGTGGCGCCATCTCGGCTCACTGCAACCTCCGCCTTCCAGGTTCAAGCAATTCTCCTGCCTCAGCCTTCCAAGTAGCTGGGATTACAGGCGCCTGCCACCATGCCCAGCTAATTTTTTGTATTTTTAGTAGAGATGGGGTTTCACTATGTTGGCCAGGATGGTCTCAAACTCTTGACCTCAAGTGTTCCACCCGCCTCGGCCTTCCAAAGTGCTGGAATTACAGGTGTGAGCCACTGTGCCCGGCCTCATTTATTATTCTTAATAACATTGTTATCAATAAAAAAGAACTGAAAATAATTTCTGGTAAAAGTCAGAGCTCTATAAAATTTAAGATATGAGCCTGCTTAAATTATTATTAATGATCACCACAGTTTTCCTTATTTACTTGTCTGCCCTACCCATACACAACATTATAATAATAGGAAATCTTTATTGCATATTGCATGTCTATTAAGTGTTTAACGTATATAAAATTATTTATTAATTTGTGTAATGATACTACAAAGTAGATAAAATTGTCTCCAATTTATCTGAACACCCATCCACCATACACACACGTAAGCACACATATTTACACAGTTGCAGTAAAGAACGAAATAAGTTACCAGATTTGGGAGTGCATAGTTGGCAGGGTGTTATTTTAGGTAAGATACCTCACCTCTTACCTCCATTCTTTTAAAGAGAACCAGGGCCAGACATGAGTTAAAGCAGTAAAGACAGATTTTATTCAGAAACTATTGCAATAGGGGAAAAGAGACTTCAGTTTAGAACTGAGCTCAATTCCAAATGCAACAAGGACAATAAGAAATTTATAGCCAAGTGTTATTAAAAAGTCAAAAGACAGCAGATGCTGGTGAGGTTATGAAGAGGAGGGAGTGCTTGTACACTACTGTGGGAAACGTAATTCCTTCAGCCATTGTCAAAAGCAGTTTGGCAATTTCCGTAAGAACTTAGAATTATCATTCAACCCGGAAATCACACTATTAGGTATATACCCAAAGGAATATAAATCATTCTACTATAAAGACACATCCATGCATGTGTTCATCTCAGTACTGTTCACAATAGCCAAGTCATGGAATCAACCTAAATGCCCATCAATGGTGGACTGAATAAAGCAAATGGAGTGCATACACACCATAGAATGCTGTGCAACCATGAAAAGAACGAGATGGTGTCCTTTGCAGTAACGTGGATGGAGCTGGAGGCCATTAACCTAAGCAAACTAACACAGGAACAGAGGGCCAAATACTGCATGTCCACACTTATGGGTGGGAGCTAAACCTGGAGTACATACAGACATAAAGAAGGGAGCAACAGACGCTGGGGCCTGCTTGAGGGTGGAGGGTAGGAAGAAGGTGAGGATCTATAAATTACCTATTGGGTACTATGCTTATTACCTGGGTGACCAAATAATCTGTACAGAAAACCCCACGACAGACAATTTACCTATATAGCAAACCTGCACATGTACCCTTGAACTTAAAATAAAAGTTAAAAATAAAAAGAAATTTATAGTCAAAGAGCAGCATAAGGAGATCAGTGGGTGGAAAATTACTAGGAAGAGACATCAAGGGTGAGAAGCTTCTTCCTAAATGGACTTAACAGGATTCTTGATAAAGGCAGGCCAGGTGATCAGACGTGAAGGATGGCTGATTCTCTCTAAATTGACTTAGCAAGATTCTTGCTAGGACTATATTTGGCAAGGATGGACATAGAAACCCAAAGTCGAGCACTTGCTGAGGAAAAACTCAGAGTAGCCTGTCCACATCCCCGTTTACAACCCTACTTCGGCTTGGTGTTCTGCAAACTTCAGATTCAGGTCATTCTAAACTGTGGCAGGTTAAAGAACACAGCAGATCTGCCCGGCTATATTTTTAATACCAACATCCCTGAAAAAACTGTTAAACATCCCTGTTCCTTTAGATTTACCTTTAGCATTATCTTAGGCAGGTTTAGGCAGAATGGGTATCCTACTGGGCAGTATAATTTAAAAAATATCACATACAGGAAGGGATAATTTCTACAAATAAGTGTCATCACACATGTGGGGTCTGAAAGTATCCTATCAGAGTCTCATCCTTTTGAATTAAGGTTGTCATTTTTAAAACATGCTACTTTATTTTCTCTGCCAATTGTCCCACCAACTACCAACACACACACACACACTCTTAGAATTTAAATGGAAAATACTAATACTAAATACATGTGTTTTATTCATTTGTACTTCTATGTAACTAGTTTAAGCAAAGGATTCCATACCTAAAAATGTAAATAAAAACATAGAAGTCTTGTAAACCACTGGGTGAAAAAAGAGGTTCTCTTGAAAGCCGTCTTGACCTCCATTAAAATGGGACTGTTGGGGCTATGTAACAATAATCTTGGTGTGGATATGTATAGAACTTTACAAATTTGAAAGGATCACATAGTTGAGACAGTGCCAATAAAGGGCAAGAAAATGAGGTTTGGAAATAACCAGGGGCAATAACACCCCTTTAGGTGGTATTTGAAAATGCATAGGGGAGTGTTCGTTTGCTGCTATAGACATTTAAAGCCTCAGAGAAGACATACTAAACCTCCTGCCATACTCAGGGCTCCACAGATGACTAAGCCCAATGGTTGGACCAGTACCTCCTCACCGTTGTCACGCTGCACTGTTCATTGCCCATCTCCCCTAAATACCAGCATTGGAGCTCATGCCATCAGAATCCCCCACACCTCCTCTTCCTTGATACAGTCACTGAATATATCACAGTAACTCTCCCTCAGCACCTAGTCCAGTGCCACCCTTTCCTGAACCACCCTTACATGGTTCTTGATGACTTCAATATTTACTTAGATGAAGCATCCAGTACCATTGCCACTTTGGTTGTTGTACTCTCACCACACTTTCTCAATCCAAAGGTACATATCCCTTAACCTGCACCCATCTTAAACCACTGTCCTCACATCATCCTTAGAGCATCGCTGTATCTTAAAATTTCCCCCTTGTTACTGGCCACTCACTCTCAGATTCCTTTAGTTGTCCTTCCTGATTTCCCTAACCTTAAAACATTGTATTGCCCCCCAGGCTTAATCTTGAAATTCCTTTTGTGTATGCTCCCTCCCTAGATAATTTCACCAGTCTTAGGACTTTATCAACCATACTCTGAAGAAACCAAACATTGTATTTTCAGTCTGAACTTCTTCACTGCACTTCAGACTCATATTATCAATTATCTACTCAACATCACTATTTGGATATTAATTTTTTTATCATAACATGCCACCCAATAAGCTTCTTGAATTTTCCCTCAAACTGATTCTTTTTAAAGTCTTCTCATATCAGTAAATGGCAATTCTATTTTTTTAAATTTATTCAGGCCAAGAAACTTGGGCCAAACTTTGATTTATCTGTTTCTATTGCACTCCCTATCTGATCCGTTAGCAAATTTGTCAATGTAACCTTCAAAATATATAAACAAAATCCAACTACTTTTGACCATTATTACTACTGCTACCTTGTTCTAATCCACCAAATTTTTAGTCTGGTTTGGAACAAAGCTTTTTACTGGTCTCTCTCTCTACTTTTTCTCCCTGAAATCTCTTCTTAGCAATCCAGAGTGATTATGTTAAATCATAAATTTCCACCATTTATTTGACCAGTCTGCCTCGTATATTCCTTTCTCCTATGAGTTTCTATAACCCATATTCTCTGTAGCATTCATTTTATTGTTGATATATGAGTACTTGTTTATATGCCTTATTTTTTGAGCAGATTATGAAATACTTGAATACAGAAACCATTTGTTGTCTCTCATTAAATATGGGTTGATATGGTTTGGCTTTGTGTCCCCAGGCAACTCTCATCTTGAATTGTAGTCTTATAATTCCCACATATGTGGGAAGGAGCTGGTGTGAGGTAATTGAACCATGGGGGTGGTTTCTCCCCGTGCTGTTCTTGTGATAGTTATCACGAGACCTGATGGTTTTTATAAGGGGCATCCCCCCTTGCTAGACACTCATCCTCTCTTGTCACCCTTTGAAGAGCTGCTTTCCACCATGATTGTAAGTTTCCTGAGGCCTCCCCAGCCATGCAGAACTGTGAGTAAATCAAACCTCTTTTCTTTATAAATTACCCAGTCGCAGGTATTTCTTCATAGCAGTGTGAGAAGAAACTAATATATGGGGATATGTAACAAACATAGGGCTTAAAAATACTTGCTAATAAATAAAATAACCGGAGATATAGTATGATCTTGATGTTCTAGATTGAGATATATTAAGTGTTTGGATTTCCAACCTAGCTCTAGCATATAATTTCCCCCATCAAGGATGGTAGCATATAAAAAAAAATAAAATCAATCTCTTAAAAATCCTCAATAATTATATAAATATAGGATACTTCCTCTATAAGGTTATTGCAGTAAGTTTTGCTATTACTGTACCCAGCCTAATAACATATTATAACTCCAGTAGGGCTAAAAACAAATTAGCTGATATTAATGAAATAGGAGAGATGATGATGAAGGGATACCTGCTAAATGTCTTTTAAATTTTATTTCTCTTGAGAGTTACACATTTGCCAGACCTCAAGTAAAATGACTCTTCAATTTTCACTAATGATTTTTTTAAAAAAATGGATGAGCATATTTTCTATAAACCACAGTATCCACTAAAGTCATATTAGCAAAGTTTTTTCTTGTTTCCTCATAAAACCTATAGGAGGCCCATTCCCATCATAAATCACATGGTGAAGCTATTGCTTCACCAGTGCATTCTCTAATGTAACCAACATTTTTGTTTTCCTTCTTAAAATCGTGAGTTTTGCAGATTACTTCAATTTTTAAACTCTAGCATCATCAGCAGTGATTAATATCTTTAATTTTTTATCTAGTTTACAAAATTAAAAACTGCTTTTATAATTGCATATGGGATAAATGAGACTGAACAATATTCTTCTGGATATGCTAGAAGGGAGGCCAGGCACAGTGACTTGTTATTTCTCCCCTAGTTTGTGCAATTCAAATGTGTGCCTCTGTGAAATTACAAATTACAGATTAGTGCAACGTTGGTCCTTCTCACAAATACTTGTGCCAGTACCACGGAGCAAGGGTATATACTTGAGAAGTCATTTTAAAAGCTGCCATTTAAAAATATTTATCTAACAAAGGAAATATTGATCATTATATTATTATGTAATTGGATATGAACATCATAGAGGCAAAACTATAATAACTAATGCACTGGTAGTTGACTGGATGACAGATATTTGCACAGAACCTGAACTTAAGATTATAGTCCAGATGTATATTTGTAACACATCTGTTTTTCTGGTCTGGTTTCCTCATTTCCTCTCTCTCCCTCTAAAAGGGAGGGTATTTCTGAGATGTCTCATATTTGCCATCCTCCTCCCCTCCCCACACTGCCTTCCCTGACTCACATGGCTCGACTGCAGGCTTCATGGGTTTCTGGATGATTCCTTTGGCTGCTCACATTTTCATCTTTCTCAAGGCTAATACCGCCACTGCTCAGGCTTTCTACTCCTGGAACAGGGGCCCAGGGTTCCAGTGGGGCCTGGAGAAGCTGGTAATTACATATCATCACAGAGGAGATGGGGTGGGACACTGTGCTACACAGTTAGGTAGTGACTTCCACCCAAGTAGTGAAGACTCCATTGACAAGCAGCAGGTACTCTTGAGTGTTGAGAGTAGACAAACATCACGTCAGGCCTGGGACTAAATCTTCCCATCAATGAGCCTCTCTCTCATATCAAGGGAACAATCCTTGCACCTTCTTCCTCCACAGAGGATCCCTCTGCCTCATTCACTAAGGGTTGCGGTTCCAGGCCCCAGGCTCCTGTCTGCTCTGTTCCCTCGTGGAAATTAGTCTAAGCTCTCCCCATTTCTAATTAAAGTCTTCTCCCAAGTTCATTTAAGATACTTGATTGAAATTTGAAGTGACAAAAGTTTAATAAATGAGGCTATTATTTTTATTATCCATGCATAGAGACAGTCATCAATAATAATTTTCTCAATTCCATGGGTAGCCTTAATGTTCTTGAATTTTCTTTAAAAAATAGAAGAATGTATTAAAGAACAAACTGCATAGGACACTGTGGCCAAAAAGATTTTCTCTGAAGATATCAAACTTGGTTCCTTTGCCTCAACTTTAGAAATGCTGAAGAGTGGATCATAGTTTTCTGAAAACAGTTTCTCTTTAAAATTATATCAGGTATTCAACTTCCGCTATAACTAACATAAAGCTTCTTTGTTTACATGTTAATTTTTAACTCTTAATAAAGAAGTCATATTATTTCATTAACTGATTATAGAGATGTTCTTGTAGCAACACTAATTTACCAACTATCAACCCCATGGGTATTTAAATAAAGTTCTGATTAATCTTATTTCACTAATATGTATGTTCCATATCTACAACTTTTAAGCTCCTAAATTTTTGTAGTTAAGATTTTATTTTTTCATTTTGGCTTCTTGGATATTTTGCATATTTTCTGTTGGATTTTAAAAAGTTTGAAAATCAAAGATAATGAAATTGATTCAGAGACAGGGAACACCTTATACTCTGATTTATGAAAACATTCTAGCAAATATTGGACAGTATTGGGTTATCCCCAGGTCACAGGCTCAATTATTAATAACTAGGTAATTAGAAACCAAAGAATAAACAATACAACAGCATAATATATCCTGATTGATTCCCCATTACAACTTCAGTGGCAGCAATTCATTTATTCATTTATATTTTATGTAACTTATATTTATCTTTTATATTTTAAAAATGTATGTAAGGTGTTTTAAAAAGATCAGTTGCTTTTAAACTCATAACTGAAAAACTGCAATAGATAAAGCTTTTTGAGAATGGGCACTCTGTCTTATCTCTCATTTGTTGGATCACTTACTGGTAATAAAATGTTGAAACAATAACCACAATGATAGTGATGACCATAGTAATATTGGCTAATCTTTATAAAGCACTTGCCACATGTCGAACATTGATTTGATGGCTTTACAGGGGTTACCAACTTCATTTAACAGATGAGGAAACTGAGGTACAGAAAAGTTACATAAATGTCCTGAAGTCATGCACCTAGGCTACGATTCCAGTCTAGACCCTCCATAACCAGTCCATGCTATCAAACCCTTTTCCACAATACTCAATACACATTTTCTGAGAAGATCAATGAATCCCCCCTGAATCTCCTTTTTGTCTTCTTCCATGTTTTACTGTTTGGCTTCTTTCAGAGGCTGCATTTTAGCTCCTACCTGCATCTCCCTGGTCAGTTTGGATTTTTTTTTTTTCTTTTTTTGTGACAGAGTCTCACTCTGTGGCCCAGGCTGGAGTAGCAGCACGATCTCGGCTCACTGCAAGCTCTGTCTCCGGGGTTCATGCCATTCTCCTGCCTCAGCCTCCCGAGCAGCTGGGACTACAGGTGCCTGCCACCACGCCCGGCTAATTTTTTTTTTGTTTTTAGTAGGACGCAGTCAGTTTGGATTTTAAATTCCTCACTTACAATCTCCTGTGCAGTGTGTTCCTCCCCTGCTTTATTCTGAGAGAAAATTCCTCAACTTCTTTCAAAGTTTTCATTTTAAATGTAATCAACCTTGGCATGAAGATGGTCACTGGAATCTTAAATGTAACACAATTCATTTCAGATCATAGCAATTCATCTTCAGGCCAAATAATTCTTAATGAGCCTGTAAAGTTCTGTCATCTCAGTTAGCAAGTATAAAACTAAAAAAGAGAGAATAAATATATCAATGGAAGAGTAGTGTAAACAGAAGGCTTTATGGTAGTTGTTGTGACCAGTCATTTCACATTTCAGTGTATTTACAAATGACTAATTTTCAGTTGGGTCATTGAGTTCTACTAAAGTTCTGTATGGATGTCATTGTTTCCTTGTATGCTGTAAATGTAAGGTGTGTTTGAAAAAAAAAACTTGAATATTTTATCACTCTGGTAATAATGACACTTTTCAAAAATTTAAAAATATCTCCTGATTATTATTCTGTAAACATTTCACAAATTATCAAGTATCAGACTCAAAGCTGCATAACAGCATTAATGTTTAACCTTAGGATTTTTGCAGCAGGATATAAACCAAGACAATGGGGAAATAATCAGATTTAATGGATTGATATTTACATTTTCTTTCACAAATCCTGAGTCATGTACCACATACTTCCTACCTGACAGCAATCCAGAGATTTTTCAAAACTTCAGATTAGAGAATTTCTTCTTTTTGACATTTATAGAACTTTGATCAACATAAAATTTAAACCTTAAATATACACTAGAAAATACAAAGCAACATTAGTAATACAAGTGAGTTCTATAGAAGTAATAGTCAAGGATGTCTGATGTCATGAAAGGCAATAAATGAAATAGGAAGAAAAGGTTTCACCCAAAGATCACTGGTAAAGAAAAACAATATTACTTTGCAAAAGTTAGCTTATTTCCACTGTTCTGTCTTGTTTTATTTTTATTTTGTCCAGGAAATAAGTTTTAACTATAAAACATAAAAGTCTGGGCCGGACATAGTGGTGGGTGGATCACTTGAGATCAGGACTTCAAGACCAGTCTGGTCAACATGGTGAAATCCCATCTCTACTAAAAATACAAAAATTAGCCGGGCGTGGTGGCAGGAACATGTATTCCCAGCTACTCGGGAGGCTGAGGAAGGAGAATCACTTGAACCTGGGAGGCAGAAGTTGTAGTGAGCCGAGATCGCACCATTGCATTCCAGCTTGGGTGACAGAATGAGACTCCATCTCAATAATAATAATAATAATAATAAAAGAAAGTCTTTTAACACAGTGAAAAGTATGATAATCATAAAGCGAATTTGATATTAATATATTATTTTCTATAATCTTTCAAGGACTTTATAAAGTTTAGGTGATTTGAGATAGAAATTTTGGAAGCTTTGATTAAAACATAAGGCATTGTGGCCAGGCATGGTGGCTCACTCCTGTAATCCCAGCACTTTGGGAGGCCAGGTGGGCGGATCACGAGGTCGGGAGATCGAGACCCTGGTGAAACCCCATCTCTACTAAAAATACAAATAATTAGCCAGGCGTGGTGGTGGGTGCCTGTAGTCCCAGCTACTCGGGAGGCTGAGGCAGGAGAATGGCGTGAACCCGGGAGGCAGAGCTTGTAGTGAGCCGAGATCGCGCCACTGCACTCCAGCCTGGGCAACAGAGGGAGACTCTGTCTCAAAAAAAAAAAAAAAAAAAAAGCAGTGTAAACAAAAAATTCTGAAGTGTTGAAGAGAATAATATAAGTTAAAATATTTTGATTTGAAACAATGAAATATAAAATGAACCATCGATAATGGAAATGTCTCTTAAAATAATCATTTTATTAACTGCAAAGGTATTTACAATTTTTCAAATTTCTCAAGTAGGTAAAATTTCACTAGAAACTGTCACACAAAGTTTTTACTAGAGCATTTAAGCTAAAGGCAACTTTATAATTATTTCTGAACAAATGCCTGTTACCACTGCCTGTTTTCAGTAGCACAGGTACAAAGGGAATGTAGTCTTGTTATAACGTACAATTATTGGCGTCAAAGTGATTTCTGAACTTCTAACTCAGGCATTAATTAGGCAGTACGATGGGCAGAAAAAAAATGTATTGTTATTGTTTAAATGAACAGAGAAAAGGAAAAATGTTGAGTATTGCTTGAAAAAATTATTTCTATTTTTAATCTATTTTATCCCCTGCTAACAGATTGTTATTCATACATTATATAACACTGCTCAAGTTGATTTGCAGTTTAAGTTTATTTGTTCATTCTTTTATTTTATTAATGCAACATACAATTATTTAGCACACCAGTTCAATTTTCATTTTGGGCAGTACAAATCTGAATGAAACAATAAAAATAGAAGTGTAAAGCTCCTGGAGCCTTTGCTTATATTGACACTTAATTTAAAGTGATCGTGTGGTATGTACTTGTTAAATACATTGCTTTCTTTTTAAATAAACTACGTATCACTAAAATGCAAGTGACAATAGTCATTACACTAAAAGAAACACCAAAAAGTGCCAAATACTTACATAAAACATTTACATCAAAATTATTTAATTGCACAAAAATCAGAGCTACTGAATATTCTCCATTTTAACTCAGTGGCGTGTAACTCTCTGTTTAATCCCTAAAATTTCCACCAGAGTTTTTAGTTAAGGTTTTTCTGACAGTTCATATTTCTCAATTATGAAAGACAAATGATCAGATTTGCAGAATAGAGAAACACTTTCTTCTCTACTTTCCTCAAACATATTCTTTCTCTCACTTTTTCCCCTTGTTAAGTAAATGATGTTACATGCATCCTCCACTGCACGAGAGCATTCTTATGCTGATATCACCCTATTACTGCATCTTACTGAGTCTATATCCTACATGTATTTTATATTGTCATCTCTCAACTCTCACTTATCTAATGCTATTATAACATTTAAATTTGGGTTCACATAATGTTTCTTGACTTAACTGCAACAGCCCTAAACTGGTATACTAGATTCTGATTTCTCCCCACTACCTATGCAACATTTATGTCAACACCAGAATTGATTTCCTAGTATAGGTATAATCACAATACCTCCACTTGAAAATCTTCAATGTCATGTCTCTTGTCAATAGTATTTTCACTTTTAACAGACTGCTCAAGTAGATTCTATGTTCCTCTGAACAAATCATTGTTTCATTCAGATTTGTACTGCCCAGAATGAAAATTGAACTACTGTGCTAAATAATTATATGTTGAATTAATAAAATAAAAGAATGAACAAAACTGCAAATCAACTTGAGCAGTGTTACATAATGTATGAATCACAATCTGTTAGCGGGGGTAAAATCAATTTAGATATTCCAACTTTTTCTAATTAAGCAAAATAGATTAGAAAATAGCAGAGAGAATCACACTTAGTAAGGAAAAATATTGTTCCACAAAATTTGGATTTGGTTTTAGGTTTTAAGTGTGTGTGTTTGTGTGTGTATGTGGTTGTGTGTGTGTGTACTGGGTCAAGACAAATTATATTCTTAAATTAGGTCATAACAAAATTGGGCATGACAGTGTAAGGCCCTCCAAAGACCCCATTGCCATCTCAAGTAGTGAAAATTACTTTGAAAGGAGCCATTTAAATTCTCTGAAAATGTTCCCAATGGTATACTGCAAGTATAAAAACACTTATTGAAGAAAATCTACTAAAACATGGTAATGTTAGAAATGCTTGTTCTCCAGTATCACAAAGAAATAGTTCTTGAACATTAACTTTCTCATCAAGGCCATTTTTTTTTAACTTTCTGCAGAAAGGGTACACTCGCCAGCAGTTTTGCCATGAGAGTACACTGAAAAAAGGAGACAGGGTCATTTATAACCTGATGCGTCCACCCTATTGCTGTGTCTGGTTTCCATTGGCTGGAATGGGACCTCACATTCTGTATTTGTCCTGATTGGCTAGCAACTTAGAACTTTTCAAAAGAGGCAAAGGCAGAAGAGAACAAAGGAAAGAGGAAGTAATTTGTGGAATCCTGAGAAAGGTAAAAACACCTCCAAATAAGGAAGAGGAACAGGCTATGACCTAATGCTTGCTTGGACCAGTATAAGCATGCCAGAGCAAATATTTAGAGTAAATTGTGGGAACTAAGAACACAAAGTATGTTGATTTCTTTATTACAGCTAGCAGATATCTAAGAATATTATCACAGGTCTTTGAATAAATTTTGCTTCTAAGAGAAGTTACTATTTATTCTTAATTAGATGGGGAGGAAAATCTCTTTGAAGAGGAGCCTCTACTTCACTATTTGCAGTAAGAATCATGAAAGTTTAATTTTTGTACCAACATCCATGTTCTCTATCACCTGCATAAGCTAAGTGAGGTGGACATTCCACTGCAAACTAATAGCAGAAATAAAAACTCCCTCTCTCCACAGCTCCTAGTTATAAGGCTGTCTTCTCAAGAGGGGCAGTATGTCAACATTTCTCATCCAATAAGTGAGGGTCTCTCTTCTTTCTCTCAGAACCCACTCATAGAACAGAAGAAAGCCCTTCACCTCTCGGCCTCATATACACAGATCATAGTCTAGCAACAGGTAGCTGAGGTCAGGATGCACCTCTGAGAATACAGGGGACTTGATTCCCCATGCCCAAACTTAAAGACTGGGGGTTCCATGCCAAGGGAGGCAAGCCAAAGAAATTTGGGGGTTCTGCTACAACATCTGCCTAGCCTTCAGCAACTAAAGAGGAGGTTCACTTAAAGTGAAATGCGTCAATATTTCTTCCCCCAGAACTAGAACTTTCACACATAAATATTTCTGTGGGATGGGAGGAGGAGGGAAGCAAGACTTAGAAAAGAAACCTCCAAATTCCGTCTCTAAGGAATTCGCTTTAATTGAACAGATTTTGAAGGAGTTCATGCCTCAAAAAATGTAGAAGTTGTAATGAAAGAAAATTGGGAGAGAAAATTGATAGATTCATTGGCTATACAGGCTAAACTATAGTCTGTTTAGTATTCTGGAGAGAAACCTGGAGAGAGACACCTGGGACAAGTCCTCTTGTGGTCAGAATATATCTCAAAATCTGAGTTCCAGAACCATCTTTTGAAAGGAGTTAATATTTGACTGGAGTGTTCTGTGAAGCAATTAAGACCCTCAGGGCATTGTTGAAAACAATAAAGCAATCAGGCAGCAATTAGTGGTGCTTAACAGCTGGTTTTGGTGAGGAAAAAGAGAAAGAGCCAATTAAAGACAACCAAGCCACTCTTATCCCACTGATGCCTATAAGTTTACCCAAGGTTATGCACCCTGAGTAGCAACAGCAGACTTCACAATGAGGCAGAGGAGGAAGTTGACTTATACTCTTCCTAAAATGCCCCGGGGGTGTAGGCCAGGTATCAGTATTCAGAATTGCTAGAACTATTATCTGAAATGTCCAGTTTCCAACAAAACATTATTAGCCATGCAAAGAAATTGGAAAGTATTACCCCTACACTGGAAAAAAATAGCCAAAGAAACTACCTGTGAGAACAACCAGATGTTAAATTTTAGATAAGAACTTCAGATTATCCATAATATGATTAAAGAACTAAAGGAAATGATGATTACAAAAATAAAGCTTACTTGTTTAATAAAGATGGCAAATCAAATAGAGAAAATCAATAAAGAGACATAAATTAAAAGAAATAACCAAATGGAAATTCTAGGGTTGAAAAGTATAGTATTTAAAATGAAAAATTTACTAGAAGATCTAGAAGATGACAATACAGCAGAGTAGGACTTCACAGAAACATCAGTTTGAACAACTGTCCACTCACAAAACACATTCACAAGGGCTAAGGAAACTGGGTGAGAGACTGTAACATCTAAGCATAACACAGAAATAAAAAAAGATGCATTGAAGAGGTTAGGAAAGATCCATATTTTCACATTACCTCTACCTCAACATCAGGCAACACAGCTTAAAGAGAGCTATCCTTCCCTTGGCGGAAGGAAAGAGAGCACTAAATTTTGCCGTAGATCCCAACATCAAGCATATCACTATGCCTTAGACACTAGGCCAGTAATCAATGATTCAAGCTCCAGGCCTGCCCTGATGCCAGGCTTGATATTGTAGCAGCAGGCTCCAGTCTCACCATTGAAGTCCATCCACAGGCTGCCCACTGCCAACCCAATTCCAAAAGCTACAGGTTCTGAAATGGTGTCAGTGATGGACTAGGTGCAGAAACCTCATGTGTCAGTTTTGTCCAGGCACCAGACCAACTCTTACTGACTCAGGCTGTAGGTACACCCATAAGACTCAGTCACCAGGCTCACCTTAGGGCTAGGGTGGCCCCAGGCTCCGGACTGCCCCCTAGTACCAGGCTGACCCCCTTGGCCCCAGGCTTAAGGACTACTCCAGATTCAAGTCTACTCCCAAAGTCCTAGTCATCAGGACAGCACCAGTGGACTTAGTTTCTAAGCTTGCCTCTGCAGATACAGGAAGGCTGATCTGGCCAGGAATTTATATATCTATATTGACTTGATACCTCATGTAGACCAATCTGGAAAGGAATGGGACCTTGGTGGAGATGACTCTGCAGTTGAGGCAATCCCTGAAGGGAATGACGGTCAAAAAGATTATGTCCACAGCACTCTCAGCAGCTCAGGCAGTAAGTCCTTCATTGAAGATGGGTATACATCACATTGTTCCCCAAAACTATACTATTCAGATATAAGGTCCTAATAGTTTCATGTCAGTAACTATTTGTGAATGTCTTCCCAAAAAATGTAGTTCATCAAAAAATATTTATATTAGGTTAGCAATTATATCAGTTTATCATTATATGCAGATATTGATTTCTGAAGCGAAGATCAGGAATTATTCTTCAAAATCACAAAAATGTTAGTAGCTCAGTAGTGCTTATCTTCAGACTATTGAAATGAGACATTAGAGATCAATGAATCACTATTTTTAGAGTCTGCCTTTTAAAATTGCTAATGTCTGGTATATAGGATAAAAGAATAATGCAACTGGTTATCTTAGCTCACACTTTAGGAGCCAAAGAGAAACTATATAAATTGATCCATTCAGAGATTACAGTTATTGATACCTTTTGATGTGTGTGTATCAAATGTTAGAAATGGTCTTTCTTCACACTACTATATATGATGGCTGCTTTTACTCTTTATCAGTCAAAATAATCAACAAAGAAAAGCTATTGATAAATTGGATTCATTTTCAGTAAAATTGATTATGCAGTATGCTTTAAATGCATAATAGCTTTGTGCCTAGCAATTGAAATGCAATTAATCCATATAATTTTATGTCAATTTAACTTTATGTAAACTTTAAAAAGCAGAATCTCAAAAATTGCCAGGTAGTTTTTCCACTGTGTTTCTTCTGTTTGTTGCAGTGTATCAGAGGTGACTTTATTGTTGCTGTTACTTTTGATAATATCCTCATAACCTTTTAACTACTGATAGTTTTTATAATTCCCATTTTTAAAAATAAGCAAGTAGAAAATAAAATTATTGAATTGAATATAAAAGCACTGTGAACACCTACTATATTCTTTTTTAAAAATCGGCTTGTAATAGTGACTTTGAATTCCCTATTTCCTGTAATCATTTTAATACTTATGATTTTATTTTTTACATATCTATTTTCATTTGAAAAACAAATTTAAACAACTATGAAGCAAAAATGTAAAAAACAAAAACATTACCAAGCAAGTAAACAAGCCCACTCATTGATTCTAGAGGCATTAAGATAGCATCTCTTTACCTTGTTTAGTTTTATTTATTTAATCCATTTTATTACTCTCTGACAAAGATTACCAATATTGGGCTGGCATTTCGGTTCCCTGATGCATTGAGTTTATTGCCAGTGGTAGCAATGTTGTTGGTGTGAAAAAGTTGCTCATCAGTGATCCCCAGTGCACCCCACTCCTTTTCTATCCTCTCCCTTCATATTCTATCTGCTCGTTATACAAATATGATTTAGTGTTTTGGTGAAATATTCATTTTTCTTTTCCAAAATAGCAAAACACATTTTACCCCAGCAAAAGTCTCATAAACTTTTCCAGAAATATTTTTATTTATTTTTATATCAATGCTATACTGAATCCATATGAAATTTGACTGTATGACTTCCCTGTAATGCTTTCTTCTAGCTGCTGATATCTGGTTTCTTAACAGTGTAGGTGTGTATCCTTTTGATGTTTATCACTGTGCTAGAGAGGAAGTTTACTCATACATTCTAACTGTGATATGCAGAGGAATGTTTCTTTGTTATCATCATTGGTTTATTTGTTAACATTATTACAGGAAACTGTTTCTTGTTTCTAAATGATACCCCCAAAGCCTTATTCATGCAAATTCTAACATCCTTGTGCTCACTCCCCTAACCTGATAACCTCTATTTCACTTCAGACATAGAAAACAGCTTTGTCCTCTACATCGTAAACCACTTATTTCCAAAGGGTTATTTCTAATGCAGGCAGAGCACACTTGTTAAATAAAATATCAGTCATTTTGATCTTTTGCATAAAAATGCAGAAGGTAATGTAGAATAAATGAAGAAAGAACACTGAGCACGAAGTCAGGTGCCCTTCCATTAGATATGTATTTTTTTGAAGACTCCAAACCATTCTGGTTTCATTTTCTCATCTGTAGTACAGATTGCCTGTCACAAATCAAAATTTAAATTAAAACATCTATTGTGCTTTGTAAACTATGTCATTTTACAAGCATAACCAATTATTACCATATCTAGTCAGAATTCCTCTGCCACTTTTCAGAGCCTTCTAAAACATGACTTTATGCTTTTCATTCAGCATTACTTACCACTTCTCCTCTGTTATGATAAGTCTGTGCTGTCCCTGGACAAGGTTCCTCCAATTCCTTAACAAAATTACAATAGTCATTTATTTTCATTTCTGTACTTTTGCTCATGATCCTTCTCTTTCACCTGATCATTTTCCTCCAATTTTCCCTCTGATGTAAGAATATAATCAATGTAAGAAAGAGATATTAAATAAAGATAGAGAATTAATCTCATAGATCATTAGAAGCAATAGGTAATGAGACATCAACCAGCGGGAAGTCTTGGGAGTGAAGACACAGTATTGATAAAAGAGATACCAAGTAGACATGCAGACTAATGAAAAGAGTGCAGTCAAACCTGTCTCTATATTTTGACCTAGGTGAGTTGGAAAGTGTCGATACCGTTAATAAAGACTGGAAATAATAAACAGATAATGAGTTTGTTTTGTTCATCTACAATCTAGTCACATAATATCTGTCAAGACATCCAGGATAATTCATCTGACAGGCTTAGTCTCAAACAAGTGGCAACTAAAGTTTAACATTGATGGTTATGTGCCCAGATGTCATAGCTTGAATCTTTATTATATATCCCTGGCGAGACAGATAAAATATTAGGCAACACAACATTTTCTAAGGTCCTTCCTGAATTTTTACTTCCAAGCCTCAGATGATGCAGTTGCAATGGCATGGCTTTAGTCTCAAATAAAATAGGTAACATTTTAACTTACTGACTGGTTACTATTTAATAAAAATTACCAAGTCCCAAAATAACTGTTCCTTATGGCTTCCACCTCAATTCTTCTCAGCAAATTGCATAATTTAGGATTTATCACATTCAGCTCTCCTTGTTTTGGTACTAATTTTGGAATCAGGATTGTTTCTGTTGCAATTGTCAACAGACCCAAATCAGACTGGATTAAACAACAAAGTGTATATTTAGCTCACATTACTGTAAGTTTTAAGAAACAGCTTCAACCATGGTTGGATTTAGAATTCAAAAAAGTTGTCCGGACTGAGTTTCTTTTCATCTCTTGATCTGTGTAGACTTCATTTCAAGGTTGCTTGTGGTGGTCCCACAGCTCTAGTACCTTCCTTCATGGGGCATTTGACTCTACTGGTTCCGTCTTTTTCGTAAATTCAAGTAGATCAGTAAAGTGTTTTAAGAATTTAAATGTTGGATACGGTATGGTAAAGCCAACATGGCCACAGGATGATATTAGAACAAGGCTTGGAAGGCAGTTTATTAACACTGGTTGCAGAGAGGAGTCACTGCACCACACAGGACCCCAGGGGAAGCACCAGGTTTTGGTCTGGTGGTAGAAGTCAAGAGAGGAAGGTCAAAGCCAGAGTCTTTATTGGAATTTCCATGAGAAAAGCAAGGCAAGGAGGAATAATCAAGCTAAGATCGGCTAGTTTGAATAATTTTATTGGGCTTTGAGCTAGAGATGTGGCTGTTTTTCTGGTACCTGACCCTTTTGTGATTTAAGGCAGGAGAAATATGGGCTTGGTATGTGAGAAAAAATGAGGTGGTTGGACCTATAGACTGGGATTGATTGGTTTGTATATGACAGACCTCCTATAGGCCCAAGCCTTTTGCTAACACTAAGAAAGTGCTAGCTCTGAGAAGGGCAGTCTCTCCCTGGCCAGCAAGCTTTTTAAGATGTCAAAAAATCACAGAGTATAAATTTGTTTTTAAAGATTGATACATAAAAAGAACATATTTTATTTTTCTTGGGTCTCTTACAAAAATCCCCATTTGGTTTTTCTTTAGTCATATGCCCACTGCTTAAAAAATAACTTTGGATCATATGGTAGTTCTATTTTTAGTTTTTGTGGAGCTTCCATACTGTTTTCCATAATGGCTGCACTAATTTACACTCCCACCAACATTGTATGAATATACCCCTTTCTCTGCATCTTTGCCAGAATTTGTTATTTTTTGTCTTTTTAATAGTAGCCATTCTAACCAGAGTGAGATGATTACTCATGGTGATTTTGATTGCTGGGTCTATATCCAGAAGAAAGGAAATCAGTATATCAAAGAGATATCTGTGTTCCCTTGCTTATTGCAGTACTGTTTGCAACAGCCAAGATGTGGAATCAACCTTAGTGTCCATTAAAGGATGAATGGATAAAGAAAATGTGGTATACATACACATTGGAATATTATTTAGCTATAAAAAGATGGAAATCCTGTCATTTGCAGTGACATGGCCGGAACTGAAGGTCATTATGTTAAGTGAAATAAGCCAGGCACAAAACCACAAATATTGCATCTTCTCACTCATATGTGGGAGCTGAAACAGTGAATCTTTTGAAGATAGAGAGAAGAATGATGGTTACTAGAGGCTGGGAAGGAAAGGGGGGATAAAGAGAAGTTTGTTAAGGGGTACAAAATACAGCCATATTGAAGAAATAAGTTCGAGTATTTGATAGTATAGTAAAAATATATAGTTAATAAGAATTTATTGTATATCTCAAAGTAGTTAAAAGAGAAGAATTATAATGTTCTAACAGAAAGAAAAGATAAATATTTGAGGTGATGGATCTCTCAATTACCCCAATTTTATCATTACACATAGTATACAAGTATCAAAATATCACATATACCCCCAAAGTATGTACAACTATTATATGTCAGTAAAAAGACTTTGCTCAAAGGAATGCAGGACACGTTTGATTCTTGAAAGAAAGATAGAATAAAAAATTTAAAATGAGAACTCTGCAGAGGTGAGTCTTCAAATAAACATTGTGAATTATTGCTGAAGAAAGAAGGAATGGATATTTTGAAGGCAAGCATTAAATATATCCTAAGATGTGTATAAGTAAAATTTTACTTGTTGCTGTGGAATTAAAAGTAAAAATATTTATACGTTACGAACATGCTTTATTTGAACTGCTTAATTTTTTTGAGACAGATATCAGTCTCAAATAATTTAATTGTGTACTGGAAATCATTTAAAACATTACATATATATATTTATACCTTGGTTATCAGAAATTTAGAAGGCTAAAAATAAACATCAATCATTCTTGTTAATGTATATGTCATAATGATAACTAGTGTCTTAATTATTATGTACTTGACACTTTATATATATTATCTCAATTAATTCTCACAACAATCTTCTTAGAAAGATATACTAGACAATTTGTCATTCAGTTTTGACTTGTTTTTCAACTCAAGGCAGCAACGTGAAGGTGTAAGCAAAAAAAAAACCCAACAAGCTATTCACATCGATGAGCCCTTTACAAATTATTTATTCTATCCTCATTTGAGTTATCACTTTTCTTTTGCAATTAGAATTACTGAAACATAAGGTGGAAAGGCCAGATATGCAAGGAATTTCTGCACTTAATCAATATTCATTGAAAAAGATCACATTACACATCAAATCTTGACACACTACAATATTTACCTGGCTTGGACTTCTCCTGAATGGGTTTTCTGAATGTACATGGTATAAATCTTAATATAAAAAAGAAGGCCTAGATAAACATAGGCAGCTTCAGGAAATTTTGTGAGAGCAATGGAACTTAAATGTGATCACAAACATGCAGAAAATGCTAGACTGCCTAATTCAATATTGCCTTCCTATCCATATATGGCAGAAGAAATTAAGAATTGCTTAAAAACTGTAAAAATTGTTCTGAATTGAATATCAATTACGTGTGTCATTAATGAAGTTATACCACTACCAGTATATTTGAATGGTTATATTAATTATAGACTTGCTTAATCTAAAAAGCAGAAACTCATCATATTTTATCAGTAGGCTTTATGTTCACATTTAAATTCTCATGTGTAAGTTTATCTTGCAAGGTACCATTTCTATTAGTTACTGTTCACTGTAGACAACAATTTCGTACGAACTAAATAGCTTCCCTTCAAAATTGATGCATGCTTAGTTCACCTACACGGCAGACCTCTAACTGAGAGATTTTTTGGTGAATTGTTCTTAATTCATAAAGACAAATGCTTTCCTGAATTTCTTATTCATGTTTTTTTGTCATTTTAAGTGCACTCTCAATTTTGTACCTTTTCTGCACCCTACGTGGAGAAGAAAAGTTGTCACTTATGCTAAATTGTTTCTTAGTATTCTCTCATTTCCTGGATACTTCATATGCAGTTTCTCCTTCTCTTTGTTTCTAAACAGTGGATATGTACCGGTTGTTTAATAACAACAGATTACCTCAATTTACCATGCCACCAAAGAATGTACAAGTAAAATCAATGCTAATAACAAAAATTACCCACTCATAGACATAAAGATGGCAACAATAGAAACTGTGGACTACTAGAGGGGGAAGGGAGAGAAAGGGGCAAGGGACAAAAAACTTTTGGATACTATACTCAGTACCTGGGGGACAGGATCAATTGTACCCCAAACCTCATCATCACACAATATACACAGGTAAAAGCCCTGCATATGTGCCCCCGCAAATCTGAAATAAAAGTTTAAATTTTAAAAAATAACCAATTGCAAGCCAATTTGTTGGTGCAATTTAACCTATGGGAATGCTGCACTCATAGGAACAGGGATGTCTTCTGCTATCAAAAGTGCTTCTTTGGTGTTGAAGATTTTTTTTTAAAATATGTCTTGGTCTTAAATATACTTAAAAATATTTTCATAATTGCTATTTTAGTTTTTGAAATATTTCTGATGAATTAATGTTTAATTATAATAGGGCTTCTATGTTTTCCTGTCTTTCCGAATGCTGACTATAAATCTATTTTCTGAATATGTCATACATCATTTCTGAGTTATGTGCATGTTTTAAAATTAACTTGAGTTGCAAATATCGCTTTTAAAGTGCAGTAGTAATTTATAGTAAAATAGAAAAATGATTTCAGTGGCAGTACTATTTCAAATACTAGTGTTGCTATTAAAACTCAATTTTTCATGTCTATATTGTGTATGAGTTTTTTGAAACAATGATAACAGCATATAAGAAAATGATTTCTTATATCTGTATTTCTTATATTTGGAATATGTGATATTTAATAAATAATTTAACTTAAATATGCATGTTCAAAGCTACAGTAGTCAATATGCTGTAATTAATGAGCAAAAGAATAGGCAAAAGATTAGTGGAACAGAATAGAGGACCCAGAAATAGACACATATAGTTATAGTCAACTCATCTTTGAAAAAGGATCAAAGTCAATACAATGGGGAAATGTTTCTCTTTTCAACAAGTGTGTTGGAACAAATGGAAATTTGTTTGCAAAAAAATGAATCTAAAGACAGGCCATAGATACTTCACAAAAATTAACTCAAAGTGGATCACAGACCTAAAAATAAAATGTAAAACAATTGAACACCAAGAAGATAGCATAGAAGAAAAATCTAAATGACCTTAGGTTTGGCAATAATTTTTTAGATACAACACCAAAGCCATGATTAATAAATAAAATAATTGATAATCTAGAATCCATTAATATTAGAAACTTTTTTGTGCAAAAGACATTGTCAAGACAATGGAAAGACAAGCACAGATTGAAAAAAAAATATTTGCAAAGGACATATCAGATAAAGGCCTCATCAAAAATATACAAGAAATTATTAACTTTCAGAATAAGCAAACAAATAACCAGATTTAAAAACACACAGTGTATTGGTCCATTTTCATGCTGCTGATAAACACATACCCAAGACTGGGAAGAAAAAGAGGTTTAATTGGACTTACAGTTCCACATGGCTGGGGAGGCCTCAGAATCATGGCGAGAGGCGAAAGGCACTTCTTATATGGTGACAGCAGGAGGAAAATGAAGAAGCAGCAAAAGCAGAAACTCGTGATAAACCCATCAGATCTCGTGAGATTTATTCACTGTGATGACAATAGCATGGGAAAGACTGGACCCCATGATTCAATTCCCTTCCCCTGGATCCCTCCCACAACACGTGAGAATTCTCGGAGATACAATTCAAGTTGAGATTTGGGTGGGAACACAGC
Organism: Homo sapiens; assembly: GCF_000001405.40. Classification (NCBI taxonomy): domain Eukaryota; kingdom Metazoa; phylum Chordata; class Mammalia; order Primates; family Hominidae; genus Homo; species Homo sapiens. The sequence continues at coordinate 35,451,807 of NC_000023.11, read as the reverse complement.
CAAACCATATCACACAGCAACAAAAACAATCAACAGAGAGAAGACAACCTGAAGAAGGGAAGAAAATATTTGCAAACTATTAAAGTGACAAGGGATTATTACTCAGAATATACAAGGAACTTCATCTCAACAGCAAAATAACAGTCTGATTTTTAAAACGGGCAAAATGTCTGAACAGACATTTCTCAAAGAAAGACTTACAAATAGCCAAAAAATATATGAAAAAAATGTTAAACATCACTAATCATCAGGAAGATGCAAATCAAAACCACAATGATGTATCATCTTACCCCAGTTAGGATGGCTGTTATGAAAAAGATAAAAAATAACAAATATTTGCAAGGATGTGGAGAAAGGAAAACTCTTACACATTGTTAATGGGAATGTAAATTAGTACAACCACTGTGGAGAATGGTATAGAGGCTTCTCAAAAAAACTACAGATAGAACAACCATATAATCTAGCAATACCACTACTGGGCATTTATCCAAAGGAAAAGAAATCAATATATTGAAGAAACATATGCAATTTCATGTTTATTGCAGCAGTATTCACAACAACAAATATATGAAATGAACATAGATGCCCAACAACAGATGGATGGATTTAAAGAATATGGTGTATATATACACAATGGAATACTATTTGGCCATAAAAAGAATAAAATCCTGTCATTCCTTGCAACGTGGAGGGGACTGAAGGACATTATGTTAAGTGAAATAAGCCATGAACAGAAAGTAAAACACCACGTGTTCTCACTCATATGTGGAAGTTTAAAAAAGTTGGTCTCATAAAAATAAAAAGTGGAGCAGAGGATACTAGAAGCTGGGAAGAGTAGGGAGAAAGGGAGATAGAGAGACACTTGTTAAAAGATACAAAATGACAGCTAGATAGGAAAAATGAGTTCTAGTTTTCTACAACATTGTAGGATGACTATAGTTAACAATAATATATTATGTGGTTTCAGTATATTATGTGGCTAGAAAGACTATATTAACTGTTCCCAACACAAGGAAAGGAAATTATAAATATTTGAGATGATGGATATGCCTATCACTCTTATCTGATACTATGCATTATATGTATTATAATGTCATTGTGTACCCCATAAATATGTATAATTATTATGGGACAATTAAAAATAAATTAAAAAATAAAAACTACCAAAAGACCTGAACCGACATCTCACTGAAGAATATATACAGATGGTAAGTAAGTATATGAAAAGATGTTCAAATTCACATGTCATTAGGGAATTACAAATTGAAACAACACTGAGATAAATCTACATATGCATTAGAATGACAGAAATCCAAAACACTGAAAACACCAAATGTTGGTGAGGATATGGAGAAACAGGAACTCTCATTCATTGTTGACTGAAATGAAAAATGGTACAGCCACCTTAGAAGACAGTTTGGCAGTTTCTTACAAAACTAAACATACTCTTACCATACAATCTAGCCATCACACTCCTTGGTATTTACACAAAGGAGCTGAAAACTTATGTCCACCCAAAAAACTGCACATGGATGCTTATTGCACCTTTATTCATAATTACCAAAACTTGGGAGTGATCAAGATGTCCTTTAGCAGGTAAATAGTTAAATAAACTCTGGTACATCCAGACAATGGAATATTATTCATCAGTGAAAAGAAATAATCTGTCAAGCTATGAAAAATCACATGGCTTTTGATTTTTACTTCTCCTACTATCATCCCTCAGTTTTGATTATTCTTTTATACCACACTGTGGGCTACTCTGAGCACCCCCATGTTCCTCCAGGAGGAGAGATACGTCATTAATTTAATTAATATGTCATTAAAAAGACGGTGGCATCCTCGCTTTTTATCATACACAGAAATTATATGATTGAGAGTATTGATGTATCAAAACCACTTATTAAGCTAATAAGTATCACGTGTGTGTGTGTGTGTGTGTGTGTGTGTATATATATATATATATATATATATATATATATGAGAACTGGATATTAACTGAAGATAAAAATCAGTTAAGAACCATGCAAAAACCCATACTAAAGAAAATCTCTTGGAGTTGAAGCAAAGACATGAAAAGGCACAGCACTATGCTGAAAATGGAAATAATTATTTATATTATTAAGGCAAATATTTCTGCGGATGATGCAAAGTTCTGGCTGTTTTGTTACTATGTATAACTTGTGCTCATTTGTTTACTCAAAAAAATATTTTTGGCAAGCACTATGTACCCAGCATGGCACAAGATGTATGGTATTGGTGTACACAGCCAATTGAAACAAAGTCCTGGCCCATAAGCTTTCAGCCTGCCCTGCAAGGACAAAATTATTATTACAGCTAATTTAAAAGTATGGTCTCTGTGCCCACACTCTTGTAATATGAACCAGTGCAATGTCCAATCCCCAAAGAGATTTTAAAATTCTCTCTTTATACATTCAAATCATAGCCTTCCAAATTTTAATGTGGACAAATTTTCCTCTTTCTGTATTGAGCATGGCTCTTCTGCATTTAACCTGGTGAGACCCTGAGAACTGTCCCTTGAGTGACATTCCTAGTTCTCACTTGCCTGGAGAGCAATGAATTCTTCTTGTTTTTATAAGCACTGGTGGTCTTAGTGATTGATCTGACATTAATAAACCCATTTATGAATACAACAGGGAGTAATTATTACATAGACGAGAGATGATCAATCCATTTTCAGTTATGTTGCATTTATCAGACCACAGGACATTTACGTAAGTTAATTTGTTTTGATGCATATGTTGTAAATGTGTTAGGGCTAATGAAGCTGATGACTTTAATCCAATGCTCATTTACCATTTCCAAAATCCTAGGGCCCTTAAGAATTATGCTAAACCTACTCTGTTTGTGCTCTATAAATGAAATAACAAAGCCTGGATGACAGCACATCTGTTTACAGCATGGTTTACTGAATACTTTAAGCCCACTGTTGAAACGTACTTTCAGTAAAAGAAAGATTACTTTTAAAATATGACCACTCATCGATACTCCAACTGGACACCCAAGATCTCTAATGGAGATATACACAAAGATTAATGTTGTTTACATGACTGCTAACACGACATCCATTCTTCAGCCCATGCATCAAGGAGTAATTTTGACTTCCAAGTCTTATTCAAGAAATACATGTTTAAAGGCTATAGCTGCCTTAGATAGTGATTCCTCTGATAGATATGGAAAAAGTAAATTGAACACTTTCTGGAAAGAATTCACCATTCTAGATGCCATTAAGAACATCCATTATTCGTGAGGGGAAGAAGTCAAAATAATTTAGAAGAAATTGATTTTAACCCTCATGAATGACTTTGAGGAACTCAAGACTCCAATGGAGAAAGGTACTACAGATGTGCTGGAAATAGCAAGAGAACTAGAAAAGAAGTGGAGTATGAAGATATTAGTGACTTGCTGCAATCTCATGATAAAACTTCAAGGGATGAGTAGCTGCTTATGATTGAACAAAGAAAATGGTTTCTTAAAATGATATCTACTCCTGGTTAAAATATTGTGAATGTTGTTGGAATGACAACAAAGGATTTAGAATATTACACAGATTTAGTTAATAAAGCAGTAGCAGGCTTTGAGAGGATTGATTCCAATTTGGGGTACTATTCTCAGTAGTACCTGGGTGACGGGAACATTATTACCCCGAATCTCAGCATCATACAATACACACAGGTAACAAATCTGCACATGTACCTCCTGAGTCTAAAATAAATGTTCGGGAAAAAGAAGAAATTTTAATGTGGGTAAAATGCCGTCAAACAGCATCGCTTGCAAAAGAGAAATCTTTCTTGAAAGGAAGATTCAATCAATGCAGTGAACTTCATTGTTGTTGTATTTTAAGAAATTGTCACAGCCACCTCAACATTCAACAACCACCATCCTGATCAGTCAGCAACCATCTACATAAAGGCAAGACCCTCCACTAGCAAAAAGATTACCACTGGCTGCTGAAGGCTCAGATGATTGTTAGTACTCTTTAGCAATAAAGTATGTTTTAATTAAGATGTGCACATTGTTTCTTTAGCCATAATCTACTGCATACTAAGTAGACTACAATATAGCATAAAAGTTACTTTTATATGCACTGTGAAACTAAAAATTTATGTCACTCACTTTCTTATGATGTTTGTTGTATTGCAGTGGTATGGAACCTAGCCTGAAATATCTGTGAGGTATGCATGTTAACCAATATCATAATTCTAAAAAGGTGACAACTACTAGGTTTGGGGGATTATTCTTGATTCCTCTTTCTGCTAGTAGAAATTTGAAGTACATGCTATTCTACTTAATATTTATTTTGAAACACTCTCCCAAGTCCTATCCATTATCAGGACCATGTTGCAAATAACTCTCAATGTTTTTAGAGTATTTTGACTGTATATTTTTTCTGGTTTAAAAATTTTATATTTATCTGTCTGAAATGGCCTCCAGTGGAACCAGATATCAAGAAATATCTGAATCCTCAGGACTTACAGACTGAATTCACAAGACACCCAAAGGTGTCAAGAAAACATAAGGGACAAGGCCACAGTGTCAAACTCTCTACTCCCCATTACCAACTGTGTACTATTTTTTTTTTCATTTAAAACATTAGTTTTATCATTTCAAAGTAACATAAGTACATATTTTAAAAGTCAGATTATAAAATATGTATAACAAAATATTAGTTACTGCTCTTCTCCTCCTGGTCCATTTCTAGAGACAATTATTTTTCCACTCCCTTAGCTGTTTTTTATGGTATTTTCCCATCTACATATTTCCTTTTTATTTTTAGTTGACAGATAATAATTATACATATTTATGAGATACAGGATGATATTTCAATATGTGTATACAATGTATAATGATCAAATCCGGATAATTAGCACATATGTCACCTCATTTATTATTTCTTTGTGTTATGAATATTCAATATCGTGTCTTCTAGCTTTCTGAAAATATACAATAAATTATAGTTTATAATATTCACCCTACAGTGCTACAGGACTCTAGAACTGATTTATCTTATCTAGCTTTAATTTTGTATTCCCTAACCAACCTCTGCCCATCTTCCTCCCTTTCCCTTCTTAGCTTTTAATAACTGCAGTTCTACTCTCTACTTCAATGAGCTCATTTTTTAAACTCCAATATATGAGTGAGAACATGCTGTATTTATGGTATTTATGTTTCTGTGCTTGATATATTTCACTCAACATAATAATTCCGCCAGGCTCATCCATGTTGCTGCAAATAATAGTATTTCATTCTTTTTTGTAGCTGAAGAGTATTCCATTGTTTATTGGAAGAGGTTTTAAATTTGATAAGAAGTTTAACATGTTTCTCAGGCAGTTTTTATTGTTTTCATTTTCTTGTGAAAACATTGCTTAGAATGTCAAGTTTTACATAGCTGTAGTCCTAGTTCCTATGATTATCTGTAGAGCAATGTAAAATCAATTAAATCTTCTGAAAATCTGAATGCAAGACTACTCTTTTTTATATTTTGTTTTATCCTAAGAATCCAAAGGTGTTGGAAAATAATTCAAGTACAGAAAATTATTGCATCGTAAAAATTACATACGCTGATTTGGAATTTGGTTGCAGATTTTCTGAACCTTGGTCAAGTGTCTGTCAATTCACTCATGCGTTTATGCCCTTATTTAAACAGGTGCTGAGCTCTGAACTATGTTCTATACTCAACTTTGAGATACAAAGACAAATGAACCCTGATTGCTAGATCTTTCCTACAAGGGCTCCCTGACTGATAGGGAAGAAAGATGTAAACAAGTAGTTTTAAGACCATGGAAAGTGTTGTAACTGGTTTTGGTATGGAAATATAGGGGTGGGGACCTGGCTGAGGAGAAAGAAAAGGCCTCAAGGAGGAGGTTATATTTTACCAGGAAATTAACGGAATTGGAATATTCAAGTATAGAAGAAGCCTAAGACATCTGAGACTGGGAGGAGGATCATGCGTACTAAGAAACAGGAAAAAACAACAACAAAGTGCTTTTCCTACTCTCACACATCACACTACACAACGCTTCTGACACCAGATTTCTCTGGTGGTGATTTTTCCCCACATACCTAGCAATTCTCAGCAGACAAAACTGGTTGTCCTCTAATTTAACTCAATTAAGACACTATCTACTTGGGCTTAGAGTCAGTCCCACAGGTTATTGGCTCACTCCCACAAGATGGCACCCCCCAACTTTAGATGCTAATCGATAGCCCCAGGTTGTGACTTGTGCTTCTGACTGATTGGCTGTATGTTGGCGTTCTCATAACAGCCTCCTCAGATCCTATTGATTTGCTAGACTCACAGAACTCAGGGAAACATGTATTTACCAGTTTGTTATAAAGGATATTACAAAGGAAATAAATGAACAGACAGAAGGAAAAGATACAGAGGGCAATGTATAGAGTTTAGTGGGAAGGGGCATGGCACTTCCATGCTGTCTCCAGGTACACTA